>NC_000006.12:66246745-66549776 GCF_000001405.40 Homo sapiens
AGATTAGTAGCATAGATATTCCCAATAACTATTCAATTTAAAGTATCTAAATTTACCTGAAGGCAATCTCTCAATTTAAGAATACTGGACTTATTATTAAAAATATAAATCATATAATTGTTATGCTCTGTACCATGGCATGTATTTGTATATCATAAATCTTATTTTATTTGCCTTTTTTAATGAAGAATATTTGCTCTCAGTTCTTTAAAAAGTCATAATAAATAAAAATTTGTGTGCAAAATGACCTTCTATAAAATAGCATGGAAAGTGAATGGCTTATTGATGTTCTTATCAGATATACCTGCATTTTCCTCTATTTCCTAATTACATAGGAATAACTTAATATTAAAATATAATGAAAGTACATTAAAATTAAATATAAAGTAGTGCATACTACAAGTAATTATGTAAAGGTTATGTTGTTTAGTATATCCAGTAAAAGTGTTCTTGAAACATTATGGAAAAATAAAGACTTTCCAATACAAACAAAAGCTGAGGCATTTTATCAACACTAGTCCTCTACTACAAGAATTGCTAACAGGAATTCTTTCATCTGAAATAAAAGAAATTTAATGAGGAAATGAGCAATCATCTGAAGGTACAAAACTCAATGGTCATAGTAAGTCTAGAGAAAAAGACAGAATATTATAAACTACTCATATCTTGAGGGGAAAAACTAAAATATGAAGTGATCAAAATAAAAGCTATACCAACTTTTCATGACACAAACAGTACAATAAGGTAAAAATAGAAACCACAAACTTAAAATGCGGGAGGATAAAGTTAAAGTGCAGAGTTGTTATTAGTATTCTCTTTGCTTGTTTGCTAGGTTGTGTGTGGATGCAATCACTGTTAAGTTGTCATAAGTTTAAAATGGTGGGTTTTAAGATATTATTCATAAGCCTCATGGTAACATCAAATCAAAAAACATACAACAGATATCTAAAAAGTAAAAAGCAACAAATGAAAACATACCACCAGAGAAAATCACCTTCACTAAAAGAAAGACAGAAAGGAAAAAATAGGAATAGAAGACCACCAAACAACCAGAAAACAAATGAAATGACAGGAGTAAGTCCTTACTTATCAATTATACTTATAATATTGACTGTAAATGGATTAAAACTCTCCAACTGAAAGACAGAGTGGTCGAATGGATTTTGAAAGCAAGATGCAATGATCTATTGCCTACAATTGCCACACTTCACCAATAAAGACTCATTGAAATTGAAAATAAAAGGATGAAAAAATAAATTCCACGTAAATGGAAACAAAAAAGAGAGCAGGATTAGCTATACTTATATCACACTAAATAGATACTAAAACAGAAAGTATCAAAAGATCATCAAAATTGATAGACCACTAGCAAGACTAATAAAGAAGAAAAAAGAATCAAATAGATGCAATAAAAAATGATAAAGGGGATATCACCACCGATCCCCCAGAAATACAAGCTACCATCAGAGAATACTATAAACACCTCTACACAAAATAAACTAGAAAATCTGGAAGAAATGGATAAATTCCTGGACACATACACCCTCCCAAGACTAAACCGGGACAAAGTTGAATTGCTGAATAAACCAATAACAGGCTCTGAAACTGAGGCAATAAGTAATAGCCTACCAACCAAAAAAAGTCCAGGACCATATGGATTCACAGCCAAATTCTACCAGAGGTACAAAGAGTAGCTGGTACCATTCCTTCTAAAACTATTCCAATCAATAGAAAAAGAGGGAATCCTCACTAACTCATTTTAAGATGTCAGCATCATCCTGATACCAAAGCCTGGCAGAGACTCCACAAAAAAAGAGAATTTTAGACCAATATCCCTGATGATTGTCGATGCGAAAATCCTCAATAAAATACTGGCAAACCAAATCCAGCAGCACATCAAAAAGCTTATCCACCACTATCAAGTTGGCTTCATCCCTGGGATGCAAGGCTAGTTCAACACACCCAAATCAATAAATGTAATCCATCACATAAACAGAACCAACGACATAAACCACATGATTATCTCAATAGATGCAGAAAAGACCTTCAACGAAATTCAACAGCCCTTCATGCTAAAAACTGTAAACAAACTAGGTATTGATGGAATGTATCTTAAAATAATAAGAGCTGTTTATGACTAACCCACAGCCAATATCATACTGAATGGGCAAAAACTAGAAGCATTCCCTTTGAAAACTGGCACAACACAGGGATACCCTCTCTCACCACTCCTATTCATCATAGTGCTGGAAGTTCTGGCCAAGGCAATCAGGCAAGAGAAAGAAGTAAAGGGTATTAAATTAGGAAAAGAGGAAGTCAAATTGTCCCTGTTTGCAGATGACATGATTGTATATTTAGAAAACCCCATCATCTCAGCCCCAAATCTCCTTAAGCTGATAAGTGACTTCAATGAAGTCTCAGGAAACAAAAATCAATGTGCAAAAATGACAAGCATTCCTATACACCAACAACAGACCAACAAAGAGCCAAATCATGAGTGAACTCCCATTCACAATTGCTACAAAGACAATAAAATACCTAGGAATCCAACTTACAAGGGATGTGAAGGAGAACTACAAACCACTGCTCAACGAAATAAAAGAGGACACAAACAAATGGAAGAACATTCCATGCTTATGGATAGGAAGAATCAGTATCGTGAAAATGGTCATACTGCCCAAGGTAGTTTATAGATTCAATGCTGTCCCCATCAAGCTACCAATGACTTTCTTCACAATATTGGAAAAAACTACTTTAAACTTAATATGGAACCAAAAAAGAGCCCGCATTGCCAGGACAATCCTAAGCAAAAAGAACAAAGCTGGAGGCTCACACTACCTGACTTCAAACTATACTACAAGTCTACAGTAACCAAAACAGCATGACACTGTTACCAAAACAGAGAGATAGACCAATGGAACAGAACAGAGGCCTCAGAAATAACACCACACATCTACAACCATCTGATCTTTGACAAATCTGACAAAAACAAGAAATGGGGAAAGGATTCCCTATTTAATAAATGGTGCTGGGAAAACTGCCTGGTAATATGTAGAAAGCTGAAACAGGATCCTTTCCTTACATCTTACACAAAAATTAATTCAAGATGGATTAAAGACTTAAATGTTAGACCAAAAATCATAAAAACCCTAGAAAAAAACATGGGCAATACCATTCAGCACATAGGCATGGGAAAGGACTTCATGACTAAAACACCAAAAGCAATGACAACAAAAGCCAAAATAGACAAATGGGATATAATTAAACTATAGAGCTTCTGCACAGCTAAAGAAACTATCATCAGAGTGAACAGGCAACCTACAGAATGGGAGAAAGTTTTTGCAATCTACCCATCTGACAAAGGGCTAATATCCAGAATCTACAAAGAACTTAAACAAATTTACAAGAAAAAACAAACAACCCCATCAAAAAGTGGGCAAAGGATATGAACAGATACTTCTCAAAAGAAGACATGTATGCAGCCAACAGACACATGAAAAAATGCTCATCATCATTGGTCATCAGAGAAATGCAAATCAAAACCACAGTGAGATACCATCTCACACCAGTTAGAATGGCGATCATTAAAAAGTCAGGAAACAACATGCTGGAGAGGATGTGGAGAAATAGGAACAGTTTTACACTGTTGGTGAGAGTGTAATCTAGTTCAACCATTGTGGAAGACAGTGTGGTGATTCCTGAAGGTTCTAGAACTAGAAATACCATTTGACCCAGTGATCTCATTACTGGGTATTTACCGAAAGGATTTTAAATAATGCTTCTATAAAGATACATGTACATGTATGTTTATTGTGGCACTATTCACAATAGCAAAAACTTGGACCCAACCCAAATGTCCATCAATGATAGCCTGGATTAAGAAAATGTGGCATATATACACCATGGAATACTATGCAGTCATAAAAAGGATAAGTTCATGTCCTTTGCAGGGACATGGATGAAACAGGAAATCATCATTCTCAGCAAACTATCACAAGGATAGAAAACCAAACACTGCATGTTTTCACTCACAGGTGGGAATTGAACAATGAGAACACTTGGACACAGGGCAGGGAACATCACACATAGGGTGGGGGGCAGGGGGAGGGATAGCATTAGGAGAAATACTTAATGTAAAGGACCAGTTAATGGGTGCAGCAAACCAACATGGCACATGTATACCTATGTAACAAACCTGCACGTTGTGCACATGTGCTCTAGAATTTAAAGTATAATTAAAAAAAAGAGAGAGACATAAATGTCATTATATAATGATAAAGCAATCACTTTAGCAAGAGGTTATAACAATTATAAATATATATATATATGCACTCAACACTGGAGCAAACAAATGTTTAAAGCAAATATTACTAGAGCTTAAGAGGGAGAAATAACCCAAAACGACAATAGCTGGACTCTTTGACAGACCACTTTTAACATCGGACAGATAATCTGGAGAGGAAATCAATGAAGAAACAAAGAACTTAGTCTATGCTATAGACCAAATAGACCTAACACGATATTTATAAAACATTTTATCCAACAGCTGCAGAATACACATTCCTTTTCTCAACATAAGAATTGCTATCAACAATAGACCATATATTAGGACATAAAACAAGTCTTCAAAAATTCAAATATTTTGAAATCATATCAAATGTCATCTCTCCCCACAATGAAATAAAACTCAAAATTAATGACAATAGAAACTTTGAAAAATATAAAAATACAAGTAAATTAAACAATATACTCTTGAATGTCCATTGGATCAAAAATTATGATGGAAATTTTAAAAAAATAATGAAACAAATGATAATGGAAACAACATACCAAAATCTGTGGGACACAGCAAAAGGAGTATTAAGAGATAAATTTATAGCTATAAATGCCTACATACAAAAGAGATAAACTTCAAATATACAACCTATGGATATATCTTAAAGAACTAGAAAAGCAAGAGCAAACCAAACCTAAAATTAGTAGAAAAAAATTTAAAAATTAGAGCAGAAATAAATGAAATTGAAATGAAGAAAGCAATATAAAAGATCAACAATACAAAAAGTTGGTTTTATGAAAAGATAAACAAAATCAACAAAGGTTTAGCAAACTAAGAAAAAAAAGAAAGATAAATAAAATCAAAGAAAAAGAAGACATTGCAACTGAAACTGCAGAAATTCAAGGGATCATTAAAAGCTACTATCAGCAATTGTATGTCAATAAATTGAAAAACTTAGAAGAAATAGATGCATTCCTAGACACATACAACCTACCAAGATTGAACTATGAGGAAATCTAAAACCTGAATAGACAATAACATATAAAAATTCAAAACCATAGTAAAGTCTCCCAACAATAAAAAAAAAAACCCAGTACCAATAGCTTCACCACTGAATTTTAACAAACATTTAAAGAAGAACTAATACCAATCCCATTCAGACTCTCTAAAAAATAGAAGAGGAGGGAATACATCCAAACTCATTCTATGATGCCTGTATTAGTCCATTTACATGCTGCTGATAAAGACATACCCAAGCATGGCAATTTACAAAAAAAGAGGTTTAATGGACTTACAGTTTCACATGGCTGGGGAGGCTTCACAATCATCACAGAAGGCAAGGAGGAGGAAGTCACATCTAATGTGGATGGCGGCAGGCCAAGAGAGAGCTTGTGCAGGGAAACTCCCATTTTTAAAATAATCAGATCTACTGAGACTCATTCACTATCATGAGAACAGTGCAGGAAAGATCTGTCCCCATAATTCAATCACCTCTCACTGGGTTTCTCCCACAACATATGGGCATTGTGGGAATCACAATTCAAGATGAGATTTGGATGGGAACACAACCAAATCAAAGTCTTAACTCATTTCAGCATTAACTCAAAAGTTCATAGTCCAATGTCTCATCTGAGACAAGGCAAGTCCCTTCTGCCTATGAGCCTGTAAAATCAAAAGCAAGCTAGTTACTTCCTAGATTCAATGGGGGTACAGGCATTGGGTAAATACAGCCATTCCAAATGGGAGAAATTAAAAACAAGGGGCCTACAGGCCCCATGCAAGTGTAAAATCCAGTGGGGAAGTCAAATCTTAAAGCTTCAAAATGATCTCCTTTAACTCCATGTCTAACATTTGGGTGATGCTGATGTAAGAGGTGGGTTCCTATGCTCTTGGTCATCTTTGCCCCTGTGGCATTGCAGAGTACAGCCTCCCTCCTGGCTGCTTTCATGGGCTGGCGTTGAGTGTCTGTGGCTTCTCCAGGTGCACAGTGCATGCTGTCAGTGAATCTTCCATGCTGGAGTGTGGAGGACAGTGGCCCTCTTCTCACAGCTCCACTAGGTGGTGCCCCAGTAGGCACTCTGTGTGGGGGCTCTCACCCCATATTTCCCTTCCACACTGCCCTAGCAAAGGTTCTCTATGAGAGCACTGTGCCTACAGTAAACTTATGCCTGGACATCCAGGTGTTTCTATACATCTTCTGAAATCCTGGTGGTGATTTCCAAAACTCAACTGTTGACTTCTGTGCACTCACAGGCTCAACACCACATGGAAGCTGCCAACGTTTGAGGCTTGCACCCTCTGAAGCCATGGCCCAAGCTCTATCTTGCCTCTTTCAGTCATCGCTGGTGTGGCTGGAAGCAAGGAACTAAGTCCCTATGCTGCATACAGCACGGGGACGCTGGGCCCAGTGCACAAAACCACTTTTTCCTCCTAGGCCTCTGGATCTGTGTTTGGAGGGGCTGCCATGAAGACCTCTGATGTCTGATGTGCCCTGGAGATATTTCTCCCATTGTCTTGGGGATTAATATTTGGCTTATCATTACGTATGCAAATGTGTGCAGCTGCCAGATATCCTAAATCATCTTTCTCAAATTCAAAGTTCCACAAACTTCTAGGACAGATGCAAAATACTGCCAGTCTCTTTGCTAAGTATAACAATAGTCACCTTGCTCCAGTTCTCAACAAGTTCCTCATCTTCATCTGAGACTACCTCCTCCTGGATCTCATTGCCCATATCATTATCAGCATTTGGGTCAAAGCCATTCAAGAAGTCTCTAGTTAGTTCCAAACTTTTCCATGACTTTCTGTCTTCTTCTGGGCCCTCCAAATTGTTTCAACTTCTGCCTGTTACCCAGTTGTGAAGTCACTTCCACATTTTCAGTTATTTTTTCTGCAGTGCCCCACTCTATTGGTACCAATTTATTCAATTAGTCCATTTCATGCTGCTGATAAAGACATACCCAAGACTGGGTAATTTAAAAAAGAAAGGGGTTTAAGAGACTTACAATTCTACATGACTGGGGAGGCCTCACAATTATGGTGGAAGGCAAGGAGGAGAAAGTCACATTTTACATGGATGGCAGCAGGGAAAGAGAGAGCTTGCGGAGGGAAACTCCCATTTTTAAAACCATCGTATCTCCTGAGACTCATTCACTAACAGGGGAACAGTGCAGGAAAGACCCACCCCCATAATTCAGTCACTTCCCAATGGGCTTCTCCCATGAAACATGAGAATTATGGGAGTTAAATTCAAGATAAGCTTTGGGCAGTAACACACCCAAAACATATCAATACCAGTATTAACCTGATATCAAAACCAGACAGAGACACATAAAAACAAAACAACAAAAACTACAAGTCGATATCTCAGATGTACCTTGACACAAAAATTCTGAACAAAGTTCCAGCAAACAGAATTCATCAACACATTAGAAAAATCATTCATTATAACCATGTGGGATTTATCCATGGAATGCAAGGATAATTCAACAAATGCAAATTAATCAATGAGACAAATTATATCAAGAACAAACACCATATAATCATTTCAATTGATGCTGAAAAAGCATTTGTAAAACTCAACATCCCTTCATGTATAAAATGCTAAAAAAATTGTGGGTAGAAGGAACATACCTCTACACAATAAAGCCATATGTAACCAACCCACAGCTAGTATCATACAAAACAATAAAAAACTGAAAACTTTCCCTCTCAGATAGGCAAACACAACAAGGATGCCCACTTTCGTTGCTGTTGCTCAACATAATACTGGAAGTATTGCTAGAGCAATCACACTAGAGAAAGAAATATAGGTCATCTAAATTGGAAAGGAAGTTGTTAAATTATCCTTGTTTGCAGGTTATATAATTTTATTTTTGAAAAAATCTAAAGTCTCTATGAAAAAATATTATAAATGATAAATTTAGTAAAGTTGTAGGATACAAAATCAGCACCAAAGATCAGTAGCATTTCTATATGCCAACAGACTAGAATCTGAAAAGAAAATCAAGACAATAATCTCACATATGATACTCCAAACAAAATAAAATATCTAGGATTTAATTAACCAATGAAGAGAAAGATCTCTCTGATAAAAGTTTTAAAACATTAATGAAGGAAATTGAGGAGGACATAAAAAATAGGAAGATATTTTATGTTCATGGACTGGAGGAATATGTATTGTTAAAATGTCCATACTATGAAAAGTAGTCTGCACATTCAATGCAATCCTTATCAAAATAACCATTATATTATTCATAGAAATAGAAAAAAACCCTAAAATTTATGTGGAACCACAAAAGACCCAGAGATAGTCAAAGCTCTTCTGAGCAAAAAGGAAGAAAAAAAATGAAAGAATCACATTACCTGACTTCAAATTATACTATAGAGCTATAGTAACCAAAACAGCATGGTACTGGCCTAAAAACAGACACATAGACCAATGGAACAGAATAGAGAACCCAGTGACATATATATATATATATATGTGTGTGTATATATATATATATGTTATATTTTTATATAAATATATATATAAATTATATTTTTATATAAATATATATAAATTATATTTTTATATAAATATATATAAATTATATTTTTATATAAATATATATAAATTATATTTTATATAAATATATATAAATTATATTTTTATATAAATATATATATAAATTATATTTTTATATAAATATATATATAAATTATATTTTTATATAAATATATAAATTATATATATTTACATATATACAGTAAACTCATCTTTGACAATGGTGCTAAGAACATGCATTAGGGAAGGAACACTTTCTTCAATAAATGGTGCTGGGAAATCTGGATATTCATATGCAAAAGAATGAAGCTAGGCCCCTTTCTTTCACCATATGAAAAAAAAATCAAAATGAATTACAAAGATTTTAGTCTCAGACCTCAAGCTAACTAAAGGAAAACATTGGGGAAACTCTTCAGGACATTGAACTGGGCAACAGTTTCTTGAGTAATACCCCATGAGAACAGGTAACTGAAGCCAAAATGGACAAATGGGATCACATCAAGTTAAAAAGCCTCTGCATGACAAAGGAAACAATCCACACAGTGAAGTGATAACCCACAGATTGGAAGAAAATTGCAAACTATTCATCCAATATGAGATTAATAACCAGAATATATAAGGAGCTCAAAAAACTCAATGGGAAAAAAAATAATAATCTGATTTAAAAATAGGCAAAATATCTGAATAGGTATTTCTCAAAAGAAGACACACAAATGGCTAAAAGGTGTATGAAAAGGTGCTTAACATTATTCATCATCAGAGAAATGCAAATCAAAACCATAATGAGATATCATCCTACCCTAGTTGAAATGACTTTTATCCAAAATAGTGGTGATCCCAAATGCTATCAAGGTCACTGAGAAAAGGGAACACTCATACACGTTGATGATATAAATTATTACAGCCACTAGGGAGAACAGTTTGGAGGTTCATCAAAAAGCTAAATATAGAGCTACCATATGATTCAGCAATCAAACTGTTAGGTGTATACCCAAAGGAAAGGAAATCAGCATATAGAAGAGATATTTGCAGTCCCATGTTTATTGCAGTGCTGCTGTTCACAATAGCCAAGATCTGGAAGCAATAGACAGACAAACAAATAAAGAAAATGTGTTACATATGCACAAGGGAGTACAATTCAGCCATATAAATGAATGAGATCTTGTCATTTGCAACAATATGAATGGAATTGGAGATGATTATGTTAAGTGAATTTAGCCTGGCACAGAAACAAAAACTTTGCATGTTCTCACTTATTTGTGGGAGCTGCAAATTAAAACAATTGAACTCATGGAGATAAAGGGTAGAAGGGTGGTTACCAGAGGCTGGGAAGGGTTAGATGGGGTGGATGTGGGGATGGTTAATGGGTACAAAAATAAAATTAGAGAGAGTGAATAATCTCAAGCATTTGATAACACAGCAAGGTGACTACAGTGAACAATAATTTTTGTACATTTAAAAATAATTAAAATAGTATAATTGAATTCTTTGTAACATAACAAAAGAATAAATGCTTTAGGTGACAGATACCTCATTTACCCTGATATGGTTATTATGCATTTTGTTCCTGTATCAAAGTATTTAGGTACACATACACATACTATGCACCCACAAAAATTTAACATAAAAATATAATTTTCAATCCCATGTTTATGAAGACAAGCTTCCTAATTTTTTTCTAAATTTGAATTACTTTACATTCATATGTAGTTCTGGCATTACTCTCAAATAGATATCTTCTCAATTTTTTAAATGAAGGGAATGGCTATAGTACTATTTATTAAAATGACTATCTAAATCCACTAAATTCTGGTGGAACTGTTCAGTTAATTAAGGTAACTATCTTTGTGCTGCTATAGCAAAATACATGAGATTAGGTAAATTTTAAAGAACAGTATTTTGTTTTCTAACAGTTATGAAAGCTGGGAAGCCCAAGATCAAAGTGCCAGCAGGTTCAGTGTCTGGTGAAGCCCTGTTTCTCATAGATGGCACCTTGTAACTTACCTCATGTGGTAGAAAGGACAGAAAGTCAAAAGAATGCTAACACTTTGTTCTCACATGGCACAAAAGAGGAAGAGAGCAAACCCATTGCCTCAAGTCCTTTAACCAAGGGCTCTAATTTTATCCAGGAGGACTGCACTCTCATTACTTAATTACTCCCTACAGTACCCATTTCTTAAGACTTTCACATTGGCAATTAAGTGTCAAAGTATGAATTTTGAGAGACACATTCAGACCATAGCAGTAATCAGATATAAATGGGTCTATTTCAGCACCTTCTATCCTTTACTTTGGTAGTTTGCCTATCCATGCAACAACACCACACAGTCTATGGTACCGTCATGGACATCTTAACATAACTCAACATGTCAATTTATTACTATAGTATAGCTCTCAGTTTATTTACGTCTCCTTAAATATACCTCACTGTAAGAGTATACAATGCAGATGTCTTCAAAACTTTAATTATATGAAGTCATGTGTTTCATGTGATTTTTCTGCTATTTTCATTTTGCTAATTTGTTTTATTTTCTAATTTTTGACACTAATATATAAAAATACAATTACTTTTTATGTTGTATTTACCTCGGGCAAACTTGATACATTCACTTAGCAATTATGTTTTAAAATTTGAAAAATAATTTCTATGTACACAGTAATGCCACTTGCAAATAATAAAGGTTGTACTTTTTTCCAATCTTTAAATTTGATTGCAGTTTTTTTTTCATTTTTTATTCAATTGCTAAAATATCAAAACAATGTTGAATAGAAGTGGCAATATTGGAGATGTACTCTTCCTGATCTTTGGGAGACAATATTCAATATTTTATCATTAAATACAATGTTTTCTGTAGTTGGATTTTTTTTTAGGTGTTTGCTTCGTTGTGTTTTGAGATGGAGTCTCACTCTATTACCCAGGCTGGAGTGCAGTGGCCTGATCTCAGCTCACTGAAACCTCCACCTCCTGAGTTCAAGCAATTCTCCTGCCTCAGCCTCCCAAATCACTGAAATTACAGGGTCCTGCCACCAACCCTGGATAATTTTTGTAGTTTTAGTAGAGAGTTTAGTTTCACTGTTAGATATGAGTTCTAAATTTCTCTTCAAAGAATCAATATGTCAGTATGTTCAATTATTTGCCTTCTACTTGGCGATAAACTTAACTTCCTCGTAAAGCAATCTTTCAATTACCTTCTCTGCCCTGACTCATTCCAATTACCTACTCTACCCCAACTCATTCCAATTATCTGCTCCACCCTGACTCATTCCAATTACCTGCTCATTCTCCACCCTGACTCATTCAGATTTCCTGCTCTGCCATAAACATTTTTCCCACCAAACCACTCACCCCATCACTCTCTTTAAATTAGCCAATCAGAATTAGTTTAGCCTGTGCAGTCTAACCCTAGCCAATAGGGGAATGACACAGCAGCAGGAGCCACATGTGTCAGGGATAAGAACCTCTTCCCCTCCCTTGTCCAAGTGTGTGCTCACCATTGCTCCATATGCAAGGGCACATGCTTCTATAGAAGTACATTGCCTTGCGAGAATTACAAAGAAAATTTTATATTGGAGTGATATTTCTTTTGTGGCACCAAAACTTTATTTATAACAATTTGGGGGCTCATCCAGGATTACATTCCCCTCCGAGGGTGATCTCTGGTCCTCTCTTGCAAGCAGGCTTGCTCCGCCCCCTTGTGGCAGCCTCAGGGGTGAGAAATCAGGACCCACCCAGTGCAAGATATAACTTGAGCTCTCAGCAATGCAGAAAGAAACTCCCTAGCAACCTAGCTGCAGGAATGACTCTGTGCACAGATCAAGAAAGGAGAAGCCACGGGAGCTGGTAAAGTACTTCCTTGGTGGTCAAATTCTGGAGGGCTAAATGTGTGTGTGCGTGACTGATTACAAACAACCCTACTTGCAGTGTTGTTCGTGTGGATGATGACAAGTCCTACTGCTGGATGGAGGGAGTGGGTTCTCTCTGCGTTTCCATAGCTACCTCATATGGCTTAGGGCGTATCCTGCCATGGGATTTATACTGGCACGCTAACACTAAGAAGGGCCTAATTCTCCCCTGGGGGAGCAGCCAGAGAGTGGGAAGTGTGCAAGGGACCTTCAGAAGGGGAAAGGGAGGAAACAGGTCAACCTTACAGAGCAGCCCAAGGTGAGATATCCCTGGTTTGAGGGGTTGACCCTGCCAGGGCAGGCAAGGCAAGACATCCCTGGTTTGAGGGAGTAAGCCTTCCGGGGCAAGCAAGGCGAGACATCCCTGGTTTGAGGGATTGAGGCTTCTGCAAATTTCAGTGCGTCAAACCTCACACAAACCTCCAGTAGTAAGAAAAATACTCAGTACTCCCCTTTCCTTTTGTCTTGGGGGAAGACAGAGTAGCTCCACTCCCACCACCCCCTCCCCTAGGAGAAGGGGAAGGAGAGGGGAGAACACCAGCATAAGTGGCTGGCAGAGGCAGGGAAAGATCAGCAAAGAGGAAAGAGAAACTGAGAGAGGAAGTCAGAAAGAAAGAGAGAGAAAAAGTCAGAGAGTCGAAAAGAGAGAGAAAGAGGCAGAGAGAGAGAGAGAGAGAAAGAGACAGAAAGATAAAGAGGGAGTCAAAGATAGAAAAAGAAAGAGACAGAGAGTCAAAGAGAGAGAGAGGAAGAGAGGGAGAAAGAGAGACTTAGAAGTAGTAAAGAGAAAAGAGTGTATCCTATTTCTTTAAAAGCCAGGGTAAATTTAAAACCTATAATGAATAATTGAAGGTCTTCTCCATCACCTTATAACACTCCAATACCACCTTGTTGTCAGTGTAAACAAGGGCATAGCCCAAAAGAACTGAGACCACCGACAACCCGTAGCCTTCCTAATCAAAAATCCTTAAAGCGGTAATCCACGGTTGGCCCAAATGCATTCAATCTGTAGCAGCAACTGCTTTGCTAACAGAAGAAAGTAGAAAAATAACTTTTAGAGGAAACCTCATTGTGAGCACACCTCATCAGGTCAGAACTATCCTAAGTGAAAAAAAAAAAAAAAAGCAAAAATGTAGCTTATTGACTCAAGAACCTTAAAGTACTTAAAGTGTAAGATGATTCTGTTAGAAAAAGATGATTTAACATTAACCACTGAAAATTCCCTTAACCCAGCAGGTTTCCTAACAGAGGATTTAAATCTTAATTACCATACAAAGGTCCGACCAGACCTAGGAGGAACTCACTTCAGGACAGGACAATAGATGGTTCCTCCCAGTTGATTGAGAGAAAAAGACACAAGGGTATTCAGTAAGTGATAAGGAAACTCTTGTAGAAGCATTGTTAGGAAAATTGCCTAATAATTGGTCTGCTCAAATGTGCAAGCTGTTTGCACTCAGCCAAGCCTTAAAGTACTTACAGAATCAGGAAAAAGCCATCTATACTAATTCTAAGTTAATATGGACTGAACTAGGTCTTATTAATAGCAAAGAATAATTGAAATCCCCAACTTAAAATTTTTCAACAAAAGTAAAGTTTGCTAAAAGTTAGCAGTGTAACATGTATTATCCTAACTTCTAATCTTGTGGCCTTAGACAGCCTAGTCCACAGACATGAAGGAAGTTCGCTTTGGAAAAGAATGATTATCATTTAAAAAAAAAATAAAAAAGAAGCAGGGGGAGAATTTATGTAAAAATGAATGTTACATGGGAAGTTCTTGCTCTAAAATAAATTAACTGGTTGTTTAAAGAGAGAGATGTTTGCAACAAGTCAGAAAGTTGAGGCATGTCAAAGAATTGTCTGTAAAAGTCATGAAAAAAGTTATAAAAGGGAATTTATGCAAGAAATGTTGTATAATTTAAAAGTATTTAGGCCGCCTGAATGTAAAACTATTCAAGAAACAGTTTATGTGCAAGGTGTATAAGGAAAGTAAAATATACCTTTTGTAAAAGGATTATAAGGAGGCATAAGAATGTGGATTTTTACCTACATTAAAAGGTTAAAAAATATTTTGTTTTAAAGGTTTAAGCAATTTTGAAATGTTAATTGTAAAGGAAATTCTGTGTGTAAACATATTAGCTGAAGTTAAAGTGGTATAATCCAGTCTTTCTGTGAACTGGATATTAAAATAAAAGCACAACAGTTTTTTCTCAAAGCACTAACCTGCTCTTTAACAGAAACTATAAAAGGTTAAAAAGAGTCTATAAAAATCTTACCTTATGGTCAGACATTAAAAATTGAATAAATATGTCTACAAGGTTTTATTAAAATTAAGTTTAACATTAATAACACACTAATATAAAGGTGAAATTTAGCTTATCTGGTATAAAAATCATACAGGAAACATTGTCAAATATAAAATGGTATTTGGCTTTTCATGGTCTAAAAACTAATAAAAATAGGTGCTAAAGGAAATTTCTTAGTAAGAAGGCACCAAGGACTGTAAAGTCCACTGCTGATGTTCCCACATTTAAAACAAAGGTCAGTTTCTTAGAAATTATATACTTGGTTTATCTTCCACTTTCCTTTCCCTCAAAACTAAGTCTTTTAGCACAGGTACCACCTACAGAAATTCTGGTAAACCAGCACCAGCCTGAGGTTCACGTTCTCATCAAAGGGTGGAAAGAAGGAAAACTCAAGTCAGCCTGGGAAGGACCCTACCTTGTGCTGCTAACCACTGAGACTGCTGTTCGTATAGTGAAAAGGGGATGGATTCATCACACCCGGGTCAAGAACGTGCCACTCCCTGCAGAATTGCGGGCCATAGTCCCAGGGGAAAACCCTACCAAACTAAAGCTAGAAAAATTTAACTCTCTTTCATCTATTCTATTACTCTTTCTTCTTTCCTCACTCTATTGCTGACCATCTAGTTATTTACATAACCAAATCAATTTTGCCTCAAACTATTGCATTTAATGCTTGCCTTGTTATACCCTGTGGGGATTTGCCAAGTCAAAGATGGCTCTCTACTTCAGAAAAGTACCTCTGTCCTTCCTGACTTTCCTCAGACTGGGCATTAGTGAATTGGGACCATTTAACCCAGGGAGATTTCAATAAAGACCACAGTGTTAACCAGGAGTCTTGCTCCCCCATGTAGAGCTTTTATGCCATAGTTGGTCCAACATTCTGTGGACCACTAACGAGCAAGGATGGACTTCCCCAACTGGTTTTTGTAATTTCCTAAAACCATACATTCATTTTACTAGAGGGACAGCCCCCCCGCTCCACCAACTGTCAGCTAAACCAGTGTAATCCTATACAGGTTATTATCTCAAGCCCTCAAAGTTCTTCCCATTTTCTAAGTCAGTTCCCTTCTTTAAGCCAGTTTTATGGTATGGGGGCTGAGGTTTCAAGGACAGACCCTGTTGGATTCTTTGAAATGCATTTCTTTGATCCCTCACCGCCTGCCCCTTCTTCTAAGCCTTCTTCCAAAACCTCTCACAATGGAACAATTGCTCCTCCTCCATCTAATGACAAGACCAAGATAGCTATCATAGAAGTTAAAGACTTAAAACAAACTTTGGTAATTAAGACAGGATACCAGTATGCAAATGCCTGGTTGGAATGGATCAAATATTCCATCCACATGTTAAACCAAAGCAATTGTTATGCTTGTGCACATAGCAGGCCAGAGGCCCAGATTGTCCTCTTTCCACTAGGGTGGTTCTCCAGTCGACTGGGCCTGGGCTGCATGGTAGCTGTTTTCCAGGATTCTACAGCCTGGAGTAATAAGTTGTGCCACACTCTCTGTCTGCTATATCCTGAAGTCCAGCACCCTGTGGGTCAGCCCCCGAGGGTCATCCAGCTTCTGTTTCCCAATACTAAGTTCACATTGTGTCTCCCATGACAGGGAGGAAATTTAGTGTTCCTTGGAGACCTGAAGGGATGCAGTGAGCTTAAGAATTTTCAAGAGCTTATCAATCAGTCAGCCCTTGTTCATCTGTGAGCAGATGTGTGGTAGTATTGTGGTGGACCATTACTGGACACTCTGCTGAATAACTGGAGTGGCACTAGTGCTTTAGACTAATTGGCTATCCCTTTCACCCTAGCATTTCATCAACCAGAGGAATGAAAAATAAGACATCATAAAGTGAGAGAAGTACCTTACAGGTCTTTTGACTCTCACGTGTATTTAAACGCAATTGGAGTCCCATGGGGAATACCAAATCACTTTACAGGCCAAAATCAAATAGCTGCAGGATTTGAGTCAATATTTTGGTGGTGACAATTAATAAAAATGTAGATTGGATAAACTACATCTATTACAACCAACAGCGATTTATTAACTACACTGGAGATGCTGTTAAAGGAATAGCTGAGCAATTAGGGGCTACTACCCAGATGGCTTGGGAAAACAGAATAGCCTTAGACATGATATTAGCAGAAAGAGGAGGAGTTTGTGTCATGATTAAAACTGAATGTTGCACCTTCATCCCAAACAACACTGCCCCTAATGGATGTATAACAAAGGCATTGCAAGGTCTGACTGCTCTGTTCAATGAGTTAGCCAGCAACTCAGGGATAAATGACCCCTTTACAAAATGGCTAGAAAAGTGGTTGGGTAAATGGAAAGAATATTAGCCTCAATTCTTACTTCCCTCACAGCTGTAATGGGTGTACTTTTTCTTGTCAGGTGCTGTGTCACACCATGCATCTGTGGGTTGGTGCAGAGGCTTATAAAAATGGCACTTACTAAAACCTCCCTTAACTATCTTCCACCTTATCCTGAGAAGCTTCTTCTTTTGGAAAATCAAGCAGAACAGCTAAGCAAAGACATGTTAAAAAGTTTGAAAAGAAAGAGCTGTAAGGAAATGCAAGAGGAGGGGTTGTTAGATACGAATTCTAAATTTCTTTTCAAAGAATCAACATGCCAGTACGTTCAATTCGTTACCTTCTACTTTTAAACTTAACTTCCTCTAAAGCAACCTTTTTCAATTACCTGCTCCACCCTGACACATTCCGATTATCTGCTCCACTCTGACTCATTCTGATCACCTACTCCACCCTGACTCATTCCTAATAACTGCTCTGTCATAACCATTTTTCCCTCCAAACCATTCACCCTGTCACTCTCTTTAAATTAGCCAATAGGAATTATTTTAGCCTGTGCAGTCTAACCCTAGCCAATAGCAGAATGACACAGCAGCAGGGGTCACGTGCATCAGGGATAAGAACCCCTTCCCCTCCCTTGTCCAAGTGTGCACTCACCATTGCTCCATTTGTAAGGGCTCACCCTTCTATAGAAGGAGCTTGCCTTGCTGATAATTGAAAAGGAAATTTTATATTCTACTGCTATTTCTTTTGCAGCACCAAAACTTTATTTATAATGTTATTGTATTTTGAATGTCTATCATATCTGTAATAATATCTCCTTTTCACTGATGATATTTTACACTGTGTTTTATTTTATTATTTTATTTTCAGAGAATCAACTTTTGACTTTGTTGTTTTTCTCTTATATCATCAAGAGCACTGTTGGAAGTGGCATCATCTGCACATCAGCTTTTGATGACCTTGATTTCTGCTCTTAGCTTTAGGGATTCTTTCTTTCTACTTTATTTGGACTTAATTTGCTGTTTTTTATATCTTTTCTCAGGGCACCCCAGAGCACTAATTTTAAAGGTCCTTATTTTATAACTTAATGAAATAAATTTGCCATCAAATACTACTTTTCCTGCATCACACAGGTTCTGATAAGTCATATTTCCACTATCATCCAGTTCAAAATACTTCATAATTTTTACTTAATTTTTTTGAGCAATGGGTTACACAGGAATGTGTCATTTAATTTCCAAACATCCAGGATTGATTTATATTGAATTTCACTGTGATCAGAGATCTTTCATGGTTTCAGTCCCTTGGAATTTGTTAGGTTTTGTTTTCAGCTCAACATATAGTCATTTTGTTCCATATGTATTTTTTTAAATGTGTATTTTGCAGTTGTTAGTCTTCTATAGCATAAATCTGTTGATTATGCTGTAGGATATCTGTATATACTCTTACTTATTGTTTAATTGCTTGCCATAGCTGTTAAAATTTCCAAATATGCCTGTGGATTCATCTATTTTTCTCTCTTTTATTCCTGTAACTATTTGCTTTATATATATTCAGCACTGTTAGTAGTTGTATAAAATTCTAAAATATCATGTTTTTCTATTGAATTCAACTTTTTATTAAATTAGATAAACTTCTTATCACTCTGAATAGTTCTTGGCTTACAGAATACTTTGCTTTTATTAATATGTCACATCTACTTCTTAAAGTGAGTTTTAAGTGATGCTTTTTTCAACTTTTTATTTTTAATCTATTTTGCCCTTAAAGTGTAACTTTAATTATCAGAATTTATTGAGTCTTATTTTTGTTTGAAGTCTTGGTTGACAATCTGTTTCTAATTCAGTGTACTTAATCTAATTTAATGTAATTGCTGGCATGGCTACATTAATATCTGTTATCTTGTTATATGTTTTCTAATTGTTTCAGCTGTTGTTAGTTATTTTCATTTTTTGTACTGTTTTGGGCATTAATTAAATCATTTTGAAATAACTTTTAACCTGTTTTCCTCCTTAGACACACTGCACTCCTCTCCCTCGTGGGGAGAAGCCTCAGGTTCTGCAAATTCTCCCAACCTTGCAAAGTTGTCCTTGCTGTAGCAAATAACGAGCCTCTTTCTTTTGTTTTTAGTCACTCCCGGGTGTCCAAACTATGCCAGTTCCAACAGTGCTCTTGGTGATACAAGACAGAAACCCATCTCTTTCAGCGTATTAAAATGCTGGGGACAATGGACACATGTCCCACTCTCTCTTGCCCAAAGCAGAAATTGCCATCCAAGATGCCCTCTTGTTATTTGAGATGTGTCCTCCCAAAAGTATCTTTTGGAAACTTAAAATTCAATGCAACAGCGTTTGGAGGTGGTGCCTAATAAGAAATTATTAGGCCATAAGGGCAAGGTGAATGAATTGATGCCATTATTGCCGGAGGGGGTTCATTATAAAAGATGGAGTTCAGCCCCCTTTTAATTCTCTCTCTGTTACTTTCTCTCTCCTTCTACCATGGATGATGCAACAGAAAGCCTCACCAGATACCACCCCCTTCTATCTTGAACTTCTCAGCCTCCGTAACTGTGAGAAATAAATTTCTGTTTACTATAAATTACTCAATCTGTGGCATTCTGTTATAGCAGCACAAAATGGATTAAGACATCTCTCCTGGTACTTATGCTTTCTTGGAGGAGGAGGTAATATGGGTAAGTAAAAATTGATCTTGGTACCTATTTCAATGCTATGTTCTTGGTTTTATATTTTTCTGCACTACTATAATGTTTTAAATAGATTCTGGAGTTCCCATAAAGGTATTTTGGTCTGTATTCCATTCTAAAATCAATATTATTGTTCAGGAAACAAGAGCTTGAACTTCACATTTTCCCATCTTGCTGATGTCACTCACATTTGTAATTTTAATTTAAAATGTTGTGTGTATATATATGCACATGTAGTATATGTATGTATATGTATATATACACACATATATATGACATGAGCATATGTATGTGTGTGTATATATATGCACATGTAGTATATGTACATATATACATATATATGACATGAGCATATATATATGTGTGTGTGTATATGTATATACACACACACAAAATACTGTGTGTGAAACGATTTTTACAGAAATTTCAATACACACCCCTCATTGTGTCAGGAAGCAGGGAAACGTTTTGCTTTAGTATGACTTAGTTTATTTTTCGTTCATCACTAGTTGTGCTCCCTCTCAGGCTATTAATTAAGAATCTGGCCAGTTTTTCTCTTAAGACCTGAAATATTTCAGAATATTTAGTTGTACCGTCCAGTAATTTTCATGTTCATTCTTTATCCTATAAAACCCATATGGCTTCAACATCCGAATAACTTGAGAGGGTGACCAATACTGTGTTTTTTCAAAGCACCTTTTCTTAGCAGGATTTTGTTTTCCCAAAACAGGAGGCTACAGAACATTTCACTCTGACCTTTAAAAGCTTTAACCCAGGGTCTTCAGCCTTTCAAGCTGTAAACTTAGTAAATGCCCCACAAAGAAAACTGGCGGTGCCTGTGTGCTCTTCTGTGCATTAATACCTCATGCATTCCTGGACAAACATCAAAAGCACTGCTGGTTTGTCTTTTTCTTCAGTAGAGTTCTTCTGAATATTCTAAGCTCAGTCCTTAGCCTACATCTGAAATTGATGTATAATTATACAAAGAAAGTGACTAAAGATCATCAGTTCACCTGGGAAAGGCTGAAAGTTGTGTACAATTTTTGCCCATACATTTCTTCTTCCCTCCATACTAGTATGATGTTTTTCAAAATGTGGTTATTATAATTTATCTGTTTTATCCAGTTGTTTTAATAGAAGTGTTGGCTTCTCATGATAAGCTAATCCTCTCCAGAGACACAAATCTTCCACTAGTGAATTTTACATATTTTTATATAGTCTCAAGCTTAAGTCTATGGGTTGCATGTTATAGGGACCAATAAATATTCCATTAGAATGTTTAGGGATATTAAAACTGTAATCACTGATGATCCCACTGAAGTAATGTAACACTTAAATATTACCCTAAAAGACATATATGTAAGATATAATGAAATGTGAAATAAATTAAGAATAATTTCAAATATTTCTTCACAAATATGATCTAAAAATATTGAATTGGTGACATATAACAATTCACATGCATTGACTGAATACTATGTGTTAGGCATTAAATATTTATTTTAGAGAAATTATATCATTTTTGCTGCTGACAATGATGTAACTACATTGGATCTATGATGTAGTTAACATACTTGACATCAGAACAGTAGAAAATAAAGAATATAGAACTTAAATCCAGGTTTTGGCATTCCCAGTTTGGATTTTTAACCTCTAAGCTCTAATTTATTCTAAGACAAAGGCGTGGAATAGATTTTTTATTAGATCTTTCAGAGAGACCATGACCTTGCTGAAACCTTGATTTGGACCTCTAGGTTTCAGAACTATGAGATAATAATTTTCTGTTGTTTTAAGCTACCTAGTTTGTAATACTATGTAACAGCAGCCATAGAAAACTAGTAAAGATTTTTGCAATGGGAAGTGGGTTGCTGATGTAACAAATATATAAAAATGTAGAACTGGCTTTGGAATGAGTAATGGGTACAGGTTTGAATTTTGAAGTCTTTGATAGAAAAAGTATAGATGTCATTGTGATATTTCAAAAGTACTGCATTAATCTTATTTTGAGATTATGGCTAAAAAGCTCTTAGTTTCCCCTGTGTGGACAGTTTGCTAAACTCATACCTCGACTATTTCCCTTATCAGATGCTAACACTCCTAGATTATAACACATACATCCAACTGCCAAAAACCCTGATACCAAACATCTAGGATGACCTCTTTTTCTTTGGGCCTGTGGAATTACTGAAACAATCTAAAAGAAGCATGTTAAACCTAGCTAACCTCAACCTACTGCCTATACATAAGACTCTTCTTACAGTTTCAGATTGCTGTTACCCTTTTCTTGGATGCAATTCCCTGCGTGGTTCTGTGTGGCAGCCTTCTCTATTAATTAGTCCTTGTTTGCAGACTACATTATTTTACATTAAAGAACCCCCTAAAGAACCATGAAAAAACTCAGAACTGATAAATAAATTTAATAAAGTTACAGGATACAAAAATCAAAATATAAAAATCAGTAGAATTTCTACATGCTAACAATCGTCAATCCAAAAAATAAATTATGAAAGCAATCCCATTTACAATAGCTACAATAAGTAAGATACCTCGGAATAAATTTAACCAAAGAAGTGAATGGTCTTTATAAACAAACAAACAAACAAACAAAACTATTAAGGCCGGGTACAGTGTCTCACACCTGTAATCCCAGTACTCTGGGAGGCCTAGGCAGGTAGATTGTTTGAGTCTAGCAGTTTGAGACAAGCCCGGGCAAAATAGCAAACTCTGTCTCTATGAAAAGGACAACAACAAAATAAATTAGCCAGTTGTGGTGGTGCATGCCTGTAATCCCAGCTACTCAGGAGGCTGAGGTGGGAGAATCACCTGAACCTGGGAGGTTCAGGCTGCAGTGAGCTGAGATAGTACCACTGCACTCCAGCCTGGGGAACCAGAATGAGACCCTGTCTCAAAAACAAAGAAACCAACAAACAAAAACTGAAAAAAGAAATTGAATAGGCCAAAAAAAAAAAAAAAAAAAAAGGAAAACATATCCCATGCTCATGAAACAGAAGAGTTAATATTTTTAAATGTTTAGGCTATCCAAAGCAATCTACAGATTTAATGCAATTCCTATCAAAATACCAATGACATTCTTCATAGAAATATTAAAAAAAAAAGCTTAAGGTTTGTTTGAATCCACAAAAGAACCCACATAGCTAAAGGAATTCTGAGCAAAAAGAATAAAGCTATGGACATCACACTACCTAATTTTAAATTCTACTACAAAGCTATAGTAGTCAAAACATTATGGTGCTGGCATAAAAACAGATGCATAGACCAGTAGAACAAAAATAGAGAAGCCAAAAGTAAATCCATGCACTTACAGCCAACTAATTTCCAACAAGGTGCCAGGAATATGCACTGGGGAAAGGACAGTCTTTTTAACAAATAATGCTGAGAACGTTAAATATCCAAATTGCAAAAGAATAAAACTAGATCTTTATCTTTCACTACATACAAAAATAAAAATAAACTCAAAATGGACTTAGGACTTACATGTGAGACATGACAATATGAAACTATTAGAAGAAAACATTGGAAAATGCCATAGGACATTGGTCTGGGCAAAAATTTTTTGGAGAAAACCTCAAAAGTACAGGCAAAAAAAAATAGACAAAAGATATTACATCAACTAAAAAGTTTCTGCACAGTAAAGGAAACACTTAAAGTGAAAAGATGACCTTCAGAATGTGAGAAAATATTTGCAAAGTCTCCGTCTCACAAAGAATTAATAATCAGTATATATAAAGAACTCAACCAAATCAATAGCAAAAAACAATCTGATTTTAAACTGGACAAAGACCTGAATAGATGTTTCTCAAAAGAAGGTATACAAATGGCCAGCAGGTTTATTAACAAATATTCAACATTATTAATCATCAGAGAAATCTAAATATAAACCACAGGGAAATATCATCTTACTCCAGTTAGAATGGCTATTTTCATCAAAATAACAACAACAAACAAACAAACAAACAAACAAACAAACAAACGCTGACAAAGGATGAAGAGAAAGTGGAACTGCCATACACTGTTGGTGGGAATGCAAAGTAGTACAGCATGAGTTTCTCAAACAAAAAAAAAGCTGCAAATAAAACTACCATACAATCTATCAGTTCCACTTCTGGGTATATATTCAAAAGAAATGAAATCAGTATATTATAGAGCTATCCACACACTTATGTTTATTACAGCAGTATTCACAGTCACCAAGATATAGAATCAATCTAAGAGACCATCGACAAATTAATGGATAAAGAAAATGTGATATAAATACACAATGGAGTAATACTCAGCTATGAAAAAGTAATATTCTGTCATTTGCAGCAACCTGGATGGAACTGGAGGTCACTATGTGAAGGGAAATAAGCCAGGCACAGAAAGACAAATATTGCATATTTTCACTCCTATGTGGGGGCTAAGTAAAGTGGATCTCATGGAGGTAGATTGTAGAATGGTGGTTACTAGAAAGTGGGAAGACAAGGAGGGAAGGAGGATGAAGAGAAGTTGGTTAATGGGTACAGTTAGATAGAAGAAATAAGTTCTAATATTCAATAATAATATCCCAATTACCCAGATTTTATCATTATACATAGAATAAAGTATCAAAATACCACAAGTATTTCAAAAATATGTACAACTATGATATATACTTTTAAAAAAAATCTTAAAGAGGTTGTTGGTAGATATATGGATGTTACAACCAATTCTGTTGAATGATCAGAAATAAGAGACGCGAGCCGTAGAGAGAACTCGAATTACCATAAATAATACATACACTGTGGTGAACAGAATGTTTGGCTGAAAAAATTTCCAAGAGAAGTTTGTAAGGTACACTCTAATTTTTTTTTCTTGTTGCTTATATTTAATACAGGAGAAATGAAAAATTTTTTAAAAGCAATTTTCTAAGCAAAAAGGAATCAACACTTGATGATTTGGAAAACCATCAGCCCATCCAGATAGCGTAGCCTCAAAACAAAGTCTAAGGTGCGGCTGGAAAATTACTTATTAAAAATATAAGGTGCTGGACTCATGGATAGGATCAACCATCTCAGCTGAAGCTAGGAACAAAAATGCAGTTATCCAGGAAAGATCTGTGTAGGACCCTTTTGTCTGATGGCAAGAACCCATGTAAACTGTATGAATGACCAAGAATTTTGCAAATCTTTAATCAGTAGAAAAACTGCCAGCTTAGACTGGAAACGTCAGAGATTGGATAGAATGGAAGAAGAATTACTCCAAGGGCAGAACTATAGCTGTAGAGGCCTAGGCTGATGGTAACTCCTTGGGGTCAGAGGGTGAGACCACTGCTCCAGTGGGTCCAGAAAACAGATTATGAAGCCACAGAGGATTATTCTCAGGCCTTAAAATCTAATGAAATGTGTCCTGTGGGTTTTGGCCCTGCCTAGGACACATTATCCCTTTTTTCTTTCCAACATTTCTTTTTTTAAATAAAAATGTTCATTCTATGACTTTCCCTCAATTATAATTTAGAAGCCAATAACTTGTTTTACGGTGTCACAAATCCACAAATTGAGAGAAATTTTTCTCTAGGATGAGCCGTACCCTTCATGTCTCACTCATAATAAATGTTTTACATATAAAACATAATTAATATAATAAATATTAATACAGTCAATATATTAATACATGATATAACCAATGTTAATATATAATTCAATTAACATAAATTTAAATAATGTTATTGTCAATATATAAGGCAAGGTTTGCCTTCATTTTATTATATACTTTTTGGCTGTTGACAAGTTGACACAATGCATAGTAATGTAAATTATGCTGTGATTAGAATTAGAAGACCTCGGCTTCCATCTTAGTCATGTCACATATTGATCTCTGTTTTTTCATAATAAAACATATCTAAAACTTGCATCACAATGATGTCATGGATGCATAGCACTCTGTCTGATATATAGTAAGTATCCCTTATTCAACATACATGGGAACAGAAGTGTTTCAAATCTGATTTTCTTTTAAATTTTGGAATGTTTGCATGTATATAAGGGGACATATTGGAGATGGAACTGAAATCTAAGCACAAAATGTATTATGTATAATATATACTTTATACACATAAGCAGAAATTGTAATTTTATGCAATATTTTAAATACTTTTCTACATGAAACAGTTTTGACTGCATTTTGACTGTGGCCCATCACATGAGGTCAGGCAGGTGTGGAATTTTCTACTTGTGGCATCATGTCACAAGTAATTTCAATGTATGTAACATAAATTGCTTTGAAAAGTTCCAAATTATGTAACATTTCAGATTTGAGATTTTTGGACTATACGCTGTCAACATGTAAAAAAAATACATCTGTAAATAGATGCTATATGACCTTGACTGTTTGTAAAAGATCTCATCCTAATGGAGGACCACTGTAGTTGGAGAAACAGTGTGATAAACAGCTAGGGTGGAAAAACATCTGAAAATTAAAGGCAGAATAAAAAATATCTCCATCTTTAGAGAAGGTGGCTTATATAAGCATTACAAAGAAGACAACGTTATATTGAACTAGTTGAAATTTTCTGATAAATTATGCTAAATTATTAGAAAGTTTCTGGGTAACAGCAGGATAGGCAATGTGGTTAATGGAAGGCTAGTTAGAAACTGATTTAGAATTGAGTTTTCAGGGCACAGGTCAAGAAGAAACAGAGTGTTATAGTTGATTGTGTTTAATTTCTCACTCTTCTGTTTACTAGCTGTGTGACCTTGGGCAAGTTATTTAATCTCTCAGTGCTTCAACTTTAATATGTGTATATATATATGTATATGTATATATATATATGTATATATATATGTATATATATATATACACACACACACATATTACGGATATGTGTGTGTATATATATATACACATATCTTCTATGGATATATATACACACATATATACATATATACATATCCTCTATAGATATATACACACACACATATATATACACACACACATATATACATATCCTCTATGGATATATATATATATATACACACACACACATATCCTCTATGGATATATATATATACACACACACACACATATCCTCTATGGATATATATACACATATATACACACACACACACACACACATACACATATCCTCCATGAATATATATGGAGATATAATATGAATATATATGGATATATGTATGTATATATATACATATAGAGTTGCTAGGAGGATTAAATTGTTAATATGCACAAAATAACCTTATGCTTTCTGGTTCATAGTAAATCCTCACTAAAAGTGATTTTTTGCTTGTTTTTTGTTTTTATTAGTGGCTTTATTGAGGTATAATTCACATACCATATACTTCACCCATTTTAAAGTATAAAATTCAATGTTTTTTGTATATTTGTGATTAATTAGCTTGATTGTGGTGATTATTCTTCAATGTATATGTAGATAAGAAAATCAAAATATACACTTTAAATACATACAACTTTTAACTGTCAATTATTCCTCAATAGTGATGGAAAATGTGACTTATTGTTATCATCCCCATTTCTTACCACTATGACACTTAAAGATGATCAGATAAAATCTCTAATCTTCAGCTTACATATCTAAAAGAAAAGTAAGCTAGAAAAAATGAGCTGCAATATATATTCTAGCAATTGAGGTAAATTAAAGATGAGGTAAATAAAATATTGGCACTCCTCCCACCTGGATGTGGGGCTAGGTTATTTTGTCTTGCATTTCAGCAGCCTGTGCAACTATATGGATCAATTAAATATGGCTAAATTGAGGCTCTTCTTGTTTCCAGGTCTGACCTTAAGAAAATAGGACCTTCCATTTTCTAGCTCCTGGAACACTTCCACTTAGCACCCAGCCATCAGACTGTGTATGAGGAGAGGAACTGAGACCTGCAGACCAATAACCTAAGCTGAACTCGCAGCTGAAAGCTAACCCACCTCTAATGGACTCTCCACTCAAAATCCAGATTAGTGAACCAAATATATGACTGTTGTTTTTAAGCCACTATGTTTTAGCATGGTATGTTACACACCAATAGATAACTAAAACTGTTCTCTCACCATCTCAACATCCTCTTCATATTTTCTAAATAATAAAATATGCCATTTGATTTTACAAGAAACAAATGTTAGATGGCAGGGCTGAAGTTAAATGGGAACCTAATGTTCACAACGACTAACAGATTTGTAAATTGAGCTTATATGTCTACATCAAAGTTCTCAATCTTTATTTATGCTATAGTTTAAAGCATGACTATACTTTTCAGCTGACTCTCTTGAAAAGTGGAGTATAATTAATATATTGATACCTGGATATATTATATTTTAGTTCATGATTCCATTTAGTCCTGAAAAATAGAAGGCATTGTCATTTTGTAGACATCTCCTTGATATATTTGTGTTAGAGTTAACTCAATTTTTTAAATGTAAGATTTAACTCTATGACACTAATCACCTGTCATCAGTCACTGACTATAGTTCAATATCATTTGAGTCACCAAGGCTAAGATATACCAGATAACTGTTTCAGTACAGGTGATTTGCATTTATCATCTAAGAGCTTATAAGAACCTCCTCTCACTAAAATATCAGAGGTCTAACTTTTACCCCCTTCCTCACATCAAAAGCATAAAACGCTGAGATATATAAAGAGGAGATTTCAGGGAGTTTGAGAACTTACTCAAATGATGTAACTCATTTGACAAATGACTTGCTTCATGCATCTTTTAGATAGCTAAGTCCAATTAGCTAAAATTATAGTTGAATTGAATATGTAAATATCTATAAAGTTGGCCTAATTAGATCCATAGGGTGGTGTAGCATCTGTGTTTAAAGCCCAGCAATTGTGAAGAGGTTTTGGTTGCAAGCTTAGGGGAGGCTGTGAAGACTGGCAAGTCTAAGTCCTCCCGTGGAATCTGAGATTTCACAGGTAGTATCTGAGGATGGGTGTGAGATTACTGCTCAAGCCAGAAAGATTAACAGCTGCCTCAATGGGAATAAGAGTCACTAGGAAATTTGATTCTATCATTCCTGAATCCAAGGTGGCGTTAACAAGCTTATTATGTAAGAAAGCAGCCTCTGTTACTAATCTAAGCTGTATCTGTTTTTCTGCTTACGCCTATGAACCAGAACATAAGAAGTAGTAGAACAAATGATATGAATCTACAAATTATGCCACGTATTTTAATTCTTCACTATTTAAATAATTAAAAACTAAGTTTTCTTCTAAATGTGTCACATAGTATAGATTTTCTAGGGTGCACTTAAGAAATTTGGTGTACTCAAGATGATCAACCTGTCTCAAAATAAACTTAGATTTTTTGAAGACTCTTCTGTTAAATTGGACTTTGACCATCACTGACACTTATTTTGACCTTATAATACCATAAATATGTACCCTTGATCAAGACTCCAGCTGATAGACCCTTAGCATAGATACATAAAAATAATAAACCTTATCTGAACATCTGTTTTAAGTCAGCTTTTGCTGTGGAAGCTGTTACAATTACAAATTATTTCCATTTGATTTCACTGAAATTCAATTAACTTCGAGCAAAAATTAGCAACACTAATTTTTAAATAAGGATGGGGTGAAGGTGATAGTTATTGTGGAGCATTGATATGATAGAAGCAGTGAGGGTAGAAAATGTGTGAACGTTAAATGCCTTTATTACTCATTTTACATTTCATCAGGTATCAGATGGCATGAAAATACGCTGTCTTGGTCTATTTTCTTGCTACCACCCCTAAGATATCACATACTTGGCTGTTTCTTATTCTAAAACCACAGTCCCTTGGGGGCTAGCTATTATTTTAATGATCAGAGTGATGATGAGTCTCTGAATACCTTAAGGTTTGTATACTAAGGATTATCTCAATTTAGCTAACATAAGCTCTATGAATGTGTTGCATATAAAATCATTTTATCTAAGGCCACATATTCTCAAAAGACATATTATGTTGTATTTTACACCTGATGCATTTACAGTTACCACTAACAAGCAAGAAAAAAATCTCCTCTACAGAGTTTGAAGTATATATTTTTAAATTATTGTTGCTTCTAAAAATACAAAAATAGATTTGGAGGTTGATATTTTTGGCAGGGGCTCTGAATATTTTCATGTGGAAGTCAGCAACCTAATAAGCCTGACTTACTGAGTGGATCAGTGGGTTGTAATTCTGGTAACTTATTTTTTAACTAGCTTGAGGCTAGGTCTATCTCAATTATGCTTCAGGTTGTATAATAGATTATATGGCATATTCAATAAAGTTGATATTGTATTAAACACAGTAGAGACAATTAATGAATATTTTTTTCTCGTGAGTTGATATTTTAAAAAGAGTTAATTATGTAGAATTTTTTGAAAGGCTTTATTCAATAGGACTCAATACCGGTCTGATCATCATCCTACGATAATGGGATATGGGTCACAGCAGGGAGAAAATCAATAGTGCTGATGGGCTATTTTATTTAAATCTCAAGCAGTTTTCTCTTCATAATAAGAAGATGTTTTCCAATTAAATTGTAAATTTGAACTAATATATTGTTTTATATAAGATACTTTATAACTTAACCAAAGCATTAAAAAATGTATCTCATCAATGATAGAAAGTTATTATCACATTTAAGCAATTAGTTTATAAAATTAATAACCATATTGATTTAATAGAATTCATCTGAATTTTCTTAGGAGAAACAAATGATTATTTTTCAATGTCTTGTGTGCACCTGCATCATGCATTGCATGACAGCCGAAGGTTGCTGACAACCACTTCACTCTGCATTTTATCCCCCAGGGCTGATTTGGCACTCTAGGCTAAAGCATTGCAGGACATTCTGTTCTAGGAGGGGCAAGAACAGAGTCTGGACTGTTCTACACAGTTTCTTTTTGTCTCAGGGTGTTGAATTCCCAGCAAATTCTACAGTTATTTTTGAGAACTACAAGCAAGCAAGAAAGGAAGAGCTGGATTGGCAAAGGCTATTCAGGGACTTGCCCTGCAGAGACAGTAGCAAAACAAGTCTCTGAAAGCTTTTTAGATGGGTATCAAGAAAGTTATTCTGCAACAGTTTTCACCTGTTATTGACATTAGATAGAAATAATACTTCACTTTCTACATTCATTAAGACATTATTTCATAGGAATATCAGGAATAAATGCTACAATAAATTAGACTACATATAACTAAGCCATTTTATAAAGCTTCAGTCATCAAATTTTACTAGTGTAGTCATTATCAGTGTAACCTAACAAACAATCCATTTTTATGCACAATCTACTGAAAGTTCGTGTAGGTGATGAGAGAAAATTCTGTCTTCCAAGTGCTTAATTTAAAATTAACAGAAAAAGACAAATGTATTAAAAAGTTTCAACACCAGTAAACAATGCAAATAATAGTTCAAAGTCATCATATGAGAAATGATTTAGACTATATGTGTTGTAGGAATATAATAGATTTATGAAAATGGAATAAAATGGTCTTTGAATAAAGCAGGACAGAAGGACTTGACAATTGCAAAATCAGCATTTCAATAGATAGGCAGAAAGTGAGCTCTATAGGCAAAAAATTCACACAGGTATACAATGAAAAAATATATGCATATAGAAAATTTGTGTGTCATGGGGGTTTGGAGTACAGATTATTTTAATACCTCATCCAGGTAGTAAACATAGTACCTGTATTAGTCTTACTTCACACTGCTATAAAGAACTGCCTGAGACAGGGTAATTTATAATGGAAAGAAGTTTAATTGACTCACAGATCCACATGGCTGGGGAGGCCTCAGGGAACTTACAATCATGGCGGAAAGGGAAGCAAACATGTGCTTCTTCACAAGGCACCAGGAGAGAGGAGTGACGTAGCGAAGAGGGAAGAACCCCTTATAAAACCGTCAGATCTCATGAGTATTCATTCACTATCATGAGAACAACATGGGGTAAACTGCTTCCCATGATCCAATCACCTCCCACTATGTCCCATCCTCAACATGGGATTATGGAGATTACAATTTGAGATGAGATTTGGATGGGGACACAGAGCCAAACCATATCAGTACCCTATAGGCAGTGTTTCCATCATCTTCCTCCTCCTATACTTCACCCTTAAGTAGGAGGCCCCAGTGTCTGTTTATTCCTTCTTTGTGTCCATGTGTACTCAGTGTTTGGCTCCCACTTATAAATGAGAACATGTGGTGTTTGGTTTTGAGTTCCTGAGTTAGTTCGCTTAGGATTATGACCTCCAGCTACATCCATGTTGCTGAAAAAAACATGATCCCATTCTTTTCAATGGCTGCATAGTATTCCATGGGTTATATGTGTCACATTTTCTTTATCCAGTCTACCACTGATGGACATTTAGGTTGATTCTATGACCTTGCTACTGTGAATAGGACTGCAATGAACATTATGTGTGCATGTGGCTTTATGGTGGAATGATTTATATTCTTTTGACAATTTTCTGATGAACGTATTGATTCTTAAGTTTATCTGAAATAATACTAATAACAATTTAATAATATTTATTATAGCCTACATTACTCTGTTCTGAACACACTTTCCATTAGTTTACAGGTATTGATCCATCAATATGAGTGTTTATAGTTTTATCTTACTGATATGGTTTAGCTCTGTGTCCTCAGACAAATCTCTTAAATTATAATCTCATAATTTCCACATGTTGTCAGAGGGATCTGGTAGGAGATAATTGAATCATGGGGCAGTTTTCCTCATACTGTTCTCATGGTAATGAATAAATTTCATGAGATCTGCTGGTTTTATAAGGGGTTTTTGCTTTCATGTCTCTCTTATTCTCTCTTGCTGCCACAATGTAAGAAGTGCCTTTCACCTTCTGCTATGATCGCGAGGCCTCCTTAGCCATATGGAACTTTGAGTCCATTAAACCTATTTTTCTTTCCAGTCTCAGGTATGTCTTTATCAGCAGCATGAAAATGGACTAATACAGTAAATTGGTACCAGTAGAGTGGGGCGCTGCTGAAAAGATATCCGAAAATGAGGGAGTAACTTTAGAACTGGGTAGCAGGCAGAGGTTGGAACAGTTTGGAGGGCTCAGAAGGTGACAGAAAAATGTGGAAAAGTTTGAAACTACTTAGAGACTTCTTGAATGGCATTGAGCAAAATGCCGATAATGATATGGACAGTGAAATCCAGGTTGAGGTGGTCTCAGATGGAGATGAGAAACCTGTTGAGAACTGTAGCAAAGGTGACTCTTGTTATGTTTTAGCAAAGAGACTAGCGACATTTTGCCCCTGCCCTAAAGATTTGTGGAACTTTGAGCTTGAGAGAGATGATTTAGGGTATTCTGGTGGAAGAAATTTCTAAGCAGAAAAGCATTCAAGAGTTGATTTGGGTGCTGTTAAAGGTATTCAGTTTTAAAGGGGAAATAGAGCATAAAAGTTCAGAAAGTTTTCTGCCTGACAATGCAATAGAAAAGAAAAATCCATTTTCTTATGAGAAATTCAAGTCAGCTGCTGAAATTTGCATAAGTAACAATGAGTCTAATGTTAATCCCCAAGACAATGGGGAAAATTACCCCAGGGCATGTCATAGACCACTGCAGCAGCCCCTCCCATCAGAGGCCTGGAGGCCTAGGGGGAAAAAATTGGTTTTGTGGGCTGGGCCCAGAGTCTCTGTGCCGTGTGCAGTCTAGGGACTTGGTGCTCTGTGTTCCAGCTGCTTCAGCCATGACTAAAAGGGGCCAAGGTTTAGTTCAGGCTGTGACTTTAGAAGATGAAAGCCCCAAGCCTTGGCAACATTTACATGGTGTTAAGCTTGCAGGTGTATGGAAGTCAAGAATTGAGGTTTGGGAACCCCTGCTTAGATTTCACAGGATGTACGGAAACACCTGTATGCCCAGGCAGAAGTTTGCTGCAGGAGCGAGGCCCTCATGGGGGACCTCTGCTAGGGCAGTGAAGAAGGGTAATGTGGGGTCAGATCCCTCACACAGAGTCCCTACTGAGACACCACCTAGTAAAGCTATGAGAAGAGGGCCACCACCATTCTCCGAACCCCAGAATTGTAGATTCACTGATAGCTTGGATTGTGTGCCTGGAAAAGCTGCAGACATTTAATGCCAGCCAGTGAAAGCAGCTGCCTAAGGGAGTGGGAGCCCACCTTTTGCATCTCAAGGCAGTGGAGCTGCCAAAGGCAGTGGGAGCATACCTTTTGAATCAGCATGACATAGGTGTGAGACAGAGTCAAAGATCATTTTTGAGCTTTAAGATTTGACTCCCCTGCTGGATTTTGGACTTGCGTGGGACCTGTAGAACCTTTGTTTGGTTAATTTCTCCCATTTGGAATGGCTGTATTTACCCAATATTTGTACTCCCATTATATCTAGGAAATAACTAACTTGGTTTTGAATTTACGAGCTCCTAGGTAGAAGGGAGTTGCCTTGTCTCAGGTGAGACTTTGGACTGTGGACTTTTCAGTTAATTCTGAAATGAGTTAAGACTTTGGGGGACTTTTGGGAAGGCATAATTGGTTTTGAAATGTGAGAACATGAGATTTGGCAGGAACCGGGATGGAATAATATGGTTTGGCTCTGTGTCCCCACCCAAATCTCATCTTGAATTGTATTCCCATAATTCCCATGTGTTATGGGAGGGACTTGGTGGGAGATAATTGAATCATGGGGGCAGTTTTCCCCATACTGTTCCCCTGGTAATGAATAAGTCTCACAAGATCTGATGGTGGTATAAGGGGTTTCCACTTTTACTTCTCTCTCATTCTCTTTTGCTACCACCATGTAAGAAGTGTCTTTCACCTTCATCCATAATTGTGAGTCCTCCTCAGCCATGTGGAACTCTTGAGTCCATGAAACCAATTTTTCTTCCCAGACTCGAATATGTCTTTATCAGCAGTGTCAAAATGGACTAATACATTTACTTAATCCTCAAATAAGACATCTGAGGCACAGAAGTAAATTGCCCTACCCCAGATCACCAGGCTACTAACTAGTAGAGCATGTTTGCTAAGTCAGGATATCTGGTTCCAGGGACCACATATTGGCCATATATATTCCATCTATCCTAAGTTCACTTTGAAACACTACAGATTCTTTAGAGGCAAACAAGAACACACACTTTTTTACTTTCCCTGTCAAAATTCACATATCAGTACATTATAGCAGGTAATCTCATAGACCTGTAGTTGCTGAGGTCCAGGTTAGAAATCTGGCTTTGCCATGTACAAGCTGTATGACATTAAATAAGTTTACATGTTCACTAGTTCTTTCTGTTCCTCAGTTTCTTAATATAGACAATAATGTACACCCTCCCTAGTTGCTGTAAAGATAATTGATCCATTACATGTAAAGTGCTGAGGACAGTACAGGGTAGGACATATTATAAGTATTTAACAAATAATCTTAATAAAGAAATAGGAAATGAAGCAACAGCAGAATACATGGGAAAAAGAATAACACTGAGGTAGCAAGATAGAATTAGCATACAGCTATGCTCTTATTATGTACTAAGGATTATTTTAAGCATTTGATATTTCTGAACTCATTTACTATTCAAAACACTTTAAGACTTTGGTGGTATTACTATGCCCATTTGTAGATCAGAAATCTAAGGCACAGAGAGATTAAATAAAATTCCCTACGTTCACACAATTCTAAAGTCTAGACACATATATATTGCACTAAATTGCTTTTTATTAAATATGCATATGTTCCTGTGTAAATCAGTAATTCTCAGGTAGATGAGGCATATCCTCCTATGGTTCAAGTCAGAATGAACCATGCAGGCTATTTTCAAATCATACCCACTCCTCCTTGCTCATTGCTCTATGAGCTCTTGTGAATGATAGGTACATTTTATCAGGGGAGTTAAATAGTTGACACATACAACATTTGATTGTGTTGAATTTTTAGACATAATTGAAATTCATACAAGTTTAAAATGTACTTTTCTAGGAAAAAGTACATACTTTTCAAACTTTTCTGTCTGGAACAGAGAAGTACATTTCAAAATGCTTCAGAAATCATATTTCTGTTAATTTGGTCTTCAGATTTAGGCTTATTTCTTGGATTAAAATATCTCTAGATCTTGTAATTGCTCTAAACAATTTTCTGCTTACCATTGAAAAGCTTTAATACAAAATTCCACCATGAAACCTGCAAATGGTATTATGTATATACATGCCATATGTATATATACACACACACATATTGATCTACACATACACATACCAAATACAAATACTATATACATTGTGAATATATTGATACATTATAGTTACAGATATAGTGTGTGTATATATATACCGTGTGTATATGTATAAATATTATATACATATATGTGTATATATATTTTAATTTTAGATTTTAGAAAATTTGAGAAGATAGTACAATGTTTCCACATACACAACTCCTAGTTTCTACTCTTATTATGTCACATTAGCATAATACATTTGCTACAATTAATGAACTGATATTGATATAGTACCACTAACTGAAATATGTACTTTGTTAAAATTTACTTAGATTTCAGATTGACTTAGTTTTTAGCTAATGTCCATTTTATGTTTCAGGATCCTATATAGGATACCATGTTTCATTTAGTTGTTATGTTCCTTAGGGTTTTCTTGTCAGTGACAGTCTCTCAGACTGTTTTTGATCATCTTCAGAGTTTTGAAGAGAATTGGTTAGGTATTTCAGAGAATGTACCTCTATTGTTTTTCTTTTTCTTTTTAAGTTTTTCTTAGACTGATATTAAGATTTTTAGAAGGGAGACGACAGGGGTAAGAGCCCATTCTTACCATATCATATTAAAAGCACATGCCAAGAACATGACTTATTATCATTGATGTTAACCCCGATCACCCGGCAGAGGTAGTGTTTTTAAAGTTGCTCCATTGTGGCAGGGCACGGTGGCTCATGCTTGTAATCCCAGCACTTTGGAAGGCCCATGGGAACAGATTGCCTGAGCTCAGAATTTCGAAACCAGCCTGTGCAACAGGGTGAAAACCCATCTCTACTAAAATACAAAAAATTAGCCAGGCATGGTGGTGTGTGCCTGTGGTCCCAGCTACTCGGGAGGCTAAGGCAGGAAAATTGCTTGAACCTGGGAGGTGGAGCTTGCAGTGAGCCGAGATCATGCACTGCACTCCAGCCTGGGCGACAGAGCGAGACTCCATCTCAGAAAATAAATAAATAAATAAATAAATAAATAAAATTGCTTCACTGTGAAATTACTCTTTTGTTCTTTTCTGTATTATACTGTTTGGAAAGAGGTAATGTGCACAACTCACACTTGAAGAGTGGAAAGTTGTGCTCTGCTTCCTTAAGGGGAGATGCATGCATAAATTATTTGGGATTTTTCCACATGGAAGATTTGTCTCCTCTCTCTTTTAAAATGTATTTATTTGTTCATTTTTTAAAGTAACAAAATAAACTAACGGACATTTTATTTTGTTGTCCAGATTGTTCGAGCTTTGGCCATTGATATGGTTTGGCTGTGTCCTGCACCAAATCTCCTCTTAAATTGTAGTTCTCATAACCCCTGCATGTTGTGGGAGGGATCCAGTAGGAGGTAATTGAATCATTGGGTCAGTTACCCTCATGCAGCTCTCATTCTAGTGAGTGAGTTCTCACAAGATCGGATGGTTTTACAAGGGGCTTTCCCCCTTTAGCTCAGCAGTTCTCTCTCCTTCTGCCATGTGAGAAGGATGTGATTGCTTCCCCTTTGCACCATGATTGTAGGTTTCCTGAGGCCTTGCAAGCCATGCTTAACTGCGAGTCAATTAAATCTCTTTCCCTTTATAAATTACCTAGTTCTCGTATTTCTTCATAGCAGTGTGAGAACAGACTAACACAGTAAAATGGTACCATAGAGAATGAAGCACTGCGAAAAGGATACACAAAAATGTGGAAGTGACTTTGGAACTTGGTAACAGGTAGAGGTTGGAACAGTTTAGAGGACTCAGAAGAAGGCAGAAAAATGTGAGAAATTTTGGAACTTCCTAGAGACTTGGAGGGCTCAGAAGACAGGAAGATGTGAAAAAGTTTGGAACTTCCTAGGACCTGTTGAATAACTTTGACCAAAATGCTGATAGTGATAAGGACATTGAAGTCCAGGCTGAGGTGGTCTTAGATGGAGATGAGGAACTTGGGAACTGGAGCAAAGGCGATGATTGCTGTGTTTTAGCAAAGAGACTGGTGGCTTTTTGCCCCTGACCTAGAGGAAGTAGAGTATAAAAGTTTGGAAAATTTGCAGCCTTGGTGATGTGCTAGAAAAGAAAAACCAATTTTCTGGGGAGATATTCAAGCCGGCTGCAGAAATTTGCACAAGTAACAAGGAGCCGAATGTTAATCACCAAGACAATGGGGAATATGTCTCCAGGGCATGTCAGGATCTTCATGACAGCCCCTCCCCTCATAGGCCTGGAGAACTAGGAGAGAAAAATGGTTTTGTGGGCCCAGTTCAGGGATCTCCTGTGGTGTGCAGCCTCAGGACTGTATCCCTGCCTCTCCAGCAAGGGCTAAAAGGGCCCAAAGTATAGCTCAGGTCATTTCTTCAGAGAGTGCAAGCCCCCAGCTATGGCAGCTTCCAAGTGGTGTTAGTCCTGTGGGTGCACAGAAGACAATAATTAAAGTTTGGGAACCTGTGTCTAGATTTTAGAGGCTGTATAGGAACGCTTAGATGTCCAGGCAGAAATCTGTTGCAGTGGTGGAACCCACAGAGAGAACCTGTGATACGGCAGTGTGGAAAGGAAATGTGGGGTTGGAGCCCCCACACAGAGTTCCTACTGGGGGACTGCCTAATGGAGCTTTGAGAAGAGGGCCATTTTCTTCCAGACTCCAGAAGGTAGATCCACCAACAGCTTGCATAGTGTACCTGGAAAAGCCACAGACACTGAATGCCAGCTGGTGCAGGGAGCTGTACCTTGCAAAGCCACAGAGGTGAAACTGCCCAAGGCCGTGGGAGCTCACCTCTTGCATCAGTGTTACCTGGATGTGAGACATAGATTCAAAGGAGATCATTTTGAAATTTAAGGTTTAATGACTGTCCTGTTAAATTTCAGACTTACATGGGACCTGTAGCCCCTTTGTTTTTGCCAATTTTTCTCATTTGGAATATGCATATTTACCCAATGCCTGTAACCCCATTATATTTAGGAAGTAACTAACTTTCTTTTGTTTTTACAGGCTCATAGGCAGAATGGACATGCCTTGTCTCGGATGAGACTTAGGGATTGGACTTTTGAGTTAATGCGGGAATGAGCTAAGAATTTGGGAGACTGTTGAGGAGACACAACTGTGTTTTGAAATGTGAGGACATAAGATTTGGGAGGAGCTGGGGCAGAGTGATATGGTTTGGCTGTGTCCCCAACCAAATTTCATTTTGAATTATAGTTTTTATAATTCCCACGTGTCTTGGGAGGAACCCGGTGTGAGGTCATTGAATCATGGGGGTGCTTACCTCCATGCTGTTCTTGTTACAGTGAGTGTATTCTCATGAGATCTGATGATTTTATAAGGGGCTTTTCCCCCCTTCACTCTGCACTTTTCTGTCCTGCTGCCATGTGGAGAAGTATGTGTTTGCTTTCCCTTTCTGCCATGATTGTAAGTTTTCTGAGGCCTCCCCAGCCATGCAAAACTGTGACTCAATTAAACCTCTTTCCTTTATAAATTACCCAGTCTCAGATATTTCTCCACAGCAGCATGAGAACAGACTAAGATAGCCATGTAGAGGTTTTATTCATTTGGCTTTCACCTGTGTACTTTTGATATACTCCCATTATTGTGTGTGTATTTGTGTGTAAGTGTGTGTGTCTGTACTACTGTTTTGCTTTCTGACACTGCAATATACTCTAATCATTTTTTATGTGTTTCCTGCCTTAATCTTACAATCAGCTATTCCTCCAAGGATCCACAGTTTATTTTGTTGAAAAATATATTGAAAACAGTCCTCGGTGTTAGGTGTGGTCATGATTAGTGGGGTGTTGTTGCTTCCAAGTGTTTTAGCTGACAGAGTATGGAAATAGATGTATACATACTAATTCAGGTATCTATATATATAACTATAAATATTGCTATATGTAACTGTGTATATAGTTATATATATTTGTATTTCTATAGGAAACAATATATATAGTTACAACTATAGATAAAATATACCCTACATTTTTATACATTTTTTAGCAGGTTGAGCAAGTTCCCATGTATTTCTAGTTTGCTCTAAGTATAAAACAAATAATTGTTGAATTTTATCAAAGGTTTTTCACATCTGAGCCAGCCTTGCATGCCTGAATTAAAGCCCACTTGATTCTGACATATAATTTTTCATACATGGTTACATATGATTTGCTAATAGTTTGTTTAAAATTACTAATATGTGCATTTAGTGAGCTACATTTCCATTTAGGCACTGATTAACATCTTATGTATTTGATGAGTTATATTTTGTTTTCATATAGTTCAAACTATTCTAAAAATTTATCTTGAGACTTCTTTGACCCATGGGTTATTTAGAAATGAATTGCTTAATTTTCAAATATTTAAGGGTACTGTAGCCATATTTCTGTTATTGATTTTTAATTTTTCTGTGGTTTGAGAGCATGCTTTCCATGATGTCTACTTTTTAAATTAGTTAAGGCCCAGACTGTGGTCTATCTTAATGGATGTTTTATGAGAGCTTGATGAGAATGTAAATTTTGCTGTTGTCGGGTGGAGTATTTTAAAAATTCCAGTTAATTTAGTGCTGTTCAACTTATCTATATCTTTATTGATTTTATACATGCTTGATCTGTCAATTCCTGACAGAGGGAAATTAAAGTCTAGATTAATAATAATTGATCAGTCTATTTGTATTTTAAACTCTATTGTTTTTTGTCTCATATGTTTTGACACACTGTTGTTAGGCACATGCATGATTTAAATTTGTATCTTTCTTCAAATTTAAATTTATTTATATTTAGATAATTTATTATATTTAAATTATAATTGCATAATGGCTCTTTATTATTGCATAATGGCTTTCTTTATTACTGATAATCTGTCTTTCTCTGAAGCCTGCTTAGTCCAGATTTCTTTGGATTAATGTTAGTATGGTTTATCATTCTCTCTTCTTATTAACCTATCTGAATCTTTAAGTTTTTTTCTTTTTTTTTAGACAATCTGTAATGGAATCTTTAAAAAAAATTCACAGTGAGAGTTTCCTACTTTTAAGTGGCATTTTAAAATTAATATATTTAGACCTTTCATATTTAAAGTTATTGATGTAGTTGTATCAATATCTACTATATTTGTAACTGTTTTCTACACATCACATTTGCTCTTTGTTTCTTTTTCTTTCCCTCTTTTGCCATCTCTGACTTTAATTACACATTTCATATACCATTTACCCTCACAACTACTGTACCAATTATACTTCTTCTTTGGTATTTTTTTAGTGGCTGTTTTACATTTGAATGTAAATTTTTACTTATCTAAATCCATCTCCAAATAATACTCTTCTGCTTCACATATTGTTTAAGTATCTTATAGCAGAATATTTCTAATTTCTGTCTCCTGTTTCTTGTGACATTGCTCTCATTCATTTCATTTCTATATGCTAGAATTAGCTACTACCTTGTTATTAACATTATTTTAAATAAGCAGTTGTCTTCTAGTCAATAAAAAATGTTTAAAAGTTGCATATATATGTATATATATTTACGGGCATGTATATTTACCTTTATTTATTTTCCAATGATCTTTATTTTTTACACAGATTAAAAATTAGGAGTTTCTCCTCTATGTTATTTTCTGTCTGTCTAAGGAAATTATTCTAACATTTGTTGTTGGTCAGGTCTGTTTTGCTGGTAATAAATTCTGTCAATTTTTGTCTCAGAAGCCTTTTATTTTTGCTTTAATCTTTAAGGTTAATTTTGCTGGATACAGGATTCCATATTGCTATATTTTTTCTTTCTTCTATGCATAAATAAACAAAATATTGCATATTACAGCCATCTAGAATTTCTCCTATCAAACATTTCGTTATGTGTTTGGAGATGTATGTACATACACTCAAATGTTATTTTAGCATATGCATCTTAGTTCTTTCTTGTGTGGGTCCCCAAGGAACTCTTCCATTTGACTATGTTAGTTATTTTCTAAGAATAAAATAAGAAATATAGAAACACATATAGGTACAAAAAATAGCATAACCCTGAAAAACAATTTTAAGCTTAATTATTAAATAAATGAAATTCATAAAAGATGTTAGAGACATTATGAAATATTTCTCTGTATGTTTGGAGTAAGAAGTAGCACAAAGAATAAATAGGAAGTGCTTAGATTATATACTTTTAACAGATGACAGAAAAATATAATGGCATAAATACTCAATTTATCTTTCATGTGTCTTTTCTAGGAAGAAGAATTCTTCAGTCTCTCAATGACCATTAAACTTATTTTTTTACATCTTTAGAAACTACCCTTGTGCAGTAAACTTTAGTCTTTAATGAATGCTTGTTAGACCATACATTCCTGAGAATATGAGGATAGAAGCTGTTTGTCAGAGTTCTTTAGATAAACAGAGCCAATAGGATAGGTGATAGATAAATAGATAGATTATAAGTTTAAAGATGTTTATTATAAGGAAATCACTCTGATAATTATGGAACCTTAGCAGTTTCAAGATCTGTAGTTGCAGAAGGTATATTCTGCCCAAGTCTAAGGGCAGAAGATCAACGACACAGCTTGAAGACAGGCAGAAAAAGTGAATTCTCCTTATTCAGCCTTTCGGTTGTATTGAAATCTTAAACTTATCGAATGAGGCCTACCCACACTGGGGAGTTGGAGACTGCCTTTCTGTTTTTCAAGGGATTCTGAGTACTAAGTCTTCAGACTCGAGGCTAGAAATTGATTGAGGGGCCATGACTTTGTTTTATTGATTCAAGTTAGACTTTTTTTCATTTGACCTAGAAGTTTTTGCTTATACAAATGAAGTAATATGTGATAGGCTTTCTATCTGTATCCATATGGCAATGCTGTACATCTGTTTGAGTCAGACTATTCTGATTGCTGCTTTGACTCTGCTGTCCCATTATAGTAACCACACACACCTTGCCTTTGGTTACTGAAAGCTGTCCCTTCACCTGACTCCTACCACGCTAGAATCCAATTACTCTCACTGCATTTAGGTTTATCAATTCAGTGACTTATTTACTACTGTAAATTCCAATTTACAGAGAGTAGTGATTTTTTTTCTAAATAGCTCACAGCTTCTTCAAGGTCTTCCCATAATGAGATTTACAGGTTCCCATTGTTTCCCAATTAATGTCCTCATTTAACAGTAGACACCCTGCCAGGCTGGGAATTAAACTTACTTTGTTATTCAGCCAGTGATAAGATGAGATTCAGCATTTGATTTTCAGCCATTTTAGCCCTCTGGCTATACGGATCTCCTTCAGGGCATACAGATAAACTTTTGGGTTATTTATGGAATGTTTGAGCTGGGAATTCAAATCCCTGAACTTGTTCTTTTATTTTACCATTTTGTCCAATGACAATATGATCAATTGACAAACTATATTCATTCATTTTCCAAAAATATTCAAAAGTATCAGGTATCCAGACATCCAGCTCCATGCTTATAAGGGTGGATTAAGAATGTTCCATGGAAATATTTTGCATATCTCTATTCCTCTATTGCCAAATTATGCTGTGGACTATCACTGCTTTTTTTTTTCACTGTTTGAAATAGGGTAATTGGTATCTTTAAATCTAGTCACATTAAAGAACCAATTCCAGAAACCACAGAACCAATTAAGAAAATGTATTTTAACATTATATTCCTCTAGAACCACTCTCAGTACCAAAACATATATAAAGATATTTTTATAAGGAGTTGCTGTTTGAAATTATTGGGGCTGAGAGGTCCTAAGACCTGTAGTCAGTAAGCTGGAGACCTAGGACAGCTGATGGCATAGTTCCAACTGAGTCTGAAGACCCTGAGTAAAAAGAGAAGTGATTATATATGTTCCACTACAAGTCCAAAGGCTTGAGAACCAGAGGAGCTGATGGGGTAAATAGAAAGCTGAGTCTGAGACTGAAGGCAGTAGAAGATTGATGTCCTGACTAAGAGATAGGCAGAGAGAGCAAATTCTTTCTTACTCAGCATTTTAATTTTATTCATAATTTGAACAGATTGGATTGGGCCAACTCATATTTGGGAGGGCAATCTGCTTTATTTAGTCTATCAATTTGAATGTTAATTTCATCTACAAACATCTTCACAGATATGCACATAATCATGTTAATCAAATATGTGGTTACCCTGTGGCCCAATCAAGTTGATCACTCAGAGCAACAAAAGAATTGTTATCCAGGAGGATTATACTGTATATCAATTTATGTCTTCCGTCTCAAAAGAATGCTATTAATAATAAAATACAGTGCAAATATTAGGCTATGTCAGAAATAGATTGTCAAGAAGGAAAGATGAATTAAAACACTTTTATAAAAGTTTTGTGAATAACTTTTTATTACAAGATTATGCAAACTTTCTTCTATTACTCAAAAATGGAAAAAAAATTACTGAACTTGATGTTAATATCTGGCAAAATTATATGTGTGATAATCATTTAAAAATTAGAAACATTCTGATAAGATGACCATTAAATTAAAACCAGCACAAGATTTATTAAACAAATTTATCATATTATATGACAATGTTACCAAGTATTTTATAAGGTTACTTTTACACTGTATGTCTTAAATTTTTTAAAAAGGATGTCTACAAAGACATTATTATTATTATTATATTTTTTAAATATTGGTAGAATTTCAATATTATTTGATAGTTTCATTTTATTGTATTAAAACTCTGAAAAATTATATTATTAGTAATTCAAATTGGATTTTCAGGGCAGCCTATGGTCAAAAGCCATAAGGATTTTATCTTGAGAACAAAATTAGATCATGATTTTACATGTACAGACATATGTGTGGGTATAAATTTGTAATTTTTAGTCAGTATTGCAGCAAGACATACAAAATAAATTTTAATATAAAATACCGGTGAAAAACATTTTAAAGAAGAAAATTTGCCTTTTAAATTAAAAAAGAAAATGTAATATGTTTAAGCTTGGAAAGGCTTGACTTGGAAACAGTTATTTAAATAAGATGGGGAATGAGAGGAGTTTGTCGTAATTATTAGGGAAAACATGATACACCTGCAGCCACACTAGAGAAAAAGAAAAGAAGTACTTAAGTTTTGCATATTCATGATATGCCAAGCACCAGTGCAGGTATTATGAAATCAGTACGCACTCCATACAGTGTTGTTGTACTTGCTGTTTTCCAAATGAAGCCAACTGACTTGCTGATCTTTTATGTATTATTTTTGCTGAAAAATGATTCAAATCAAGTCTAACGGAAGTCATGCCTATACACTTACTCTCATAACACATAACTGTGGTTATATGCCCCCTCAACATCAATCATCAACTCTTGTTCAGATTCCTGAATATAGTTATGCCTAAATCAGACACCAGCAAAAGGAGACACGTCCAGAAGAAGTAGCTGCACTGGAAAAAAAAAAGTCTGTAAAGTCCTAACAGAAATGACTGTGGAAATGGAGATGTAACCTGCAGGAAAGAAAATTGAGACTGTTATTAGATAAACTATGTTCCCCCAAATTTCACAGGGTGAAGTTCAAATCCAAGTACTTCAAGATATAATAATATTTGTATATGGATTCACTAAAAAGGTGATTAATTTAAAATGAGACCCCTTGGTGGGGATATAATCCAATATGAGATGAGAGGTGTCCTTAGAAGAGGAAGAGATGCCAGGGGTTCTCATGCACTGAGGAACAACCATATGAGTACAAAGCAGCAAGAAGGTGACTACATGCAAGCCAAGAGAGGAGGCTTCAGAGGAAACAAACCCTTCTAATACTTTGATGTCGGACTTCCAGTCTCCAGAACTGAAAGAAAATAAATTTCCGGTATTTAAGCCATCCAGTATGTGATATTTTGTAAAGGCAGCCCTAGCAAACTAGCAAACTAATATAGGGAAATAATATAGGGAGATAAAGACACTGAGTATTTGAAGTAGTATCATCTTAAGAGGTACACATACTTGTGAATTATCCCATAAGAAAAAATGAGAATTAAAAGCATCCAGAGATAAATTTGATTAAATCTACAAACTACTTTTTCAATTAAATTATTTTTTTTTAAATGAATAGCAGTTTTTTTATGATGCTTAAAAGGGAAAAATAATTGCTGGGGAGTAGTAAGGAAGAAAAGAAGTAAGAACAGTTTTAATTTCCCTTTTGCCTATATAATTCTCATCTTTAGAGGTCAACTTAGATAATACTCCAGGAAATCATCTGCTAATTAGACATCCTGTAGCACTCATTACATTGTCTTGAATGTGCTTGATTTATTTCATATCTTGCATCCTAAAATACAAGGCACTATAAACCAGGTAGGTTTTTATCTTCATATTTAATTTTTAGTCACTTTCTGAAACAGGGCAGTCAGTATACATTTGCAGAAAGAATAAATAAGAAATAATTAAAAAAGAAGGAAGGAAGAAATGAACAAACTAATAGATAAATGAAGAGATAAAACTGTAATCCCATTTAATGGAGTTATTCACAAAATTAAATGATTGTCAGGAGTTCTGAAGAATAAATTCTCAATAGTGAGGTTGTTAGAGGCTAAATGTCCTCTACATTCCTTTAGGATTCAAAATTCTATCAACTTATAATCAGTTATATTGAGAAATACTTAAAATATCAACATATCCTTCAAAGCTCCTTCAATTTACCAGTAAATAATAAACTGATACATGACATCTACAACATTTAAAATGAAATAACAGTTGATTCTAGTCTGATTAATTGCTTGTTAGAATAATCACGCTCTCCACCTTCCCCAGGGAGTACTCAAATTAAGTGACATCCTTTGTAATACATTATGTGCTTCCTCTTTTGAATTAAGAATCTTTTTAAAATAGCCATATAATAAGAAATGAATTAGTAAACATCAATTTGCCTTTATTTTATGGATAATTGTTCTGTAATTTAAAAGTTATTTTTAAGCACTTAAAATTTCTCTTTGGGAATAGTTCTAATAGTTTTTTTTTTTGTTGTTGTTAATCATTTTTTTGTTTTGTCTTAGATAAATGTATTTTTAAAAATCATTTGGCTGTGAAAAATTGAAGCAATAGCCATATTATTTAGGGCCCAATTCGCACTCAGCTAAAACAAATCTTTCTCCAGTAACAACATATACACCGAGATACTTTTAATGAACCATTCAATTATTTGTTCTTTTGTAAAATTTACATTACTAATTTAGAACTGAGTGCTTTTGTGTAGGATTTACATACTTAACAGAAACCTTTTCCAAGAGATTTATATATTCACATTCAGCCACACAACCAAATAATTATAATGCAATGATAATCATCATAATAGGAAAACAAGTGTAGGCAATTAAATGTTTTCTCTACATTTATAGCTCATAGCTTCTTTTTTCTTATGGGAAGCTTTTTCATAGCATTGTCTTTAATAACTGAGAAAATTTTTGTACCAAAATTAGAAATTTACATATATGCTGCAAATTAGTAAAATAAATGTAGTTTCCTATTTTTAATATCTGATGTGGTTTTTTTAGAGCTACAGTATTTTAGATAACTCAATCTTGTTTTAGTTAAAATTCTCAGTATTCAGTGTCTAAAGAGAGTAGGACTAGAAAGTGGCTTCACAGTCCTTAGTGTTCTGCTTAAGGGTGGATGACTCCTTTGTGGTGTGCTTAGATTTCACTCATGGGTTTTTTTCTGGTGGCTGAAGTCAAATTGTACAATTAGAAGATATTCATCTTGTCTTTCTCTTAGCTCTTCCATGATCTATTGGTGATCTCTGGGACATGAGGGAACTTCTTCAGCTTTCACTGATCTTGACATGTAATGGACTTTTATTTGTTTTTTGGCCTTGCATGGTAAACTCAACTGGCCTAGGCTACAGGGTCGCTTAGCTGCCACTGTGATAATCAGCTGTACTACAATGGTCTCAGCATAGTTCCTTCAAGCACATAGAACATGTAAGCGTGTTTTGCTCCATTTGGAAAATGAAGGAAAAAAAAAAACTCAGGCTTTGCTGTGTAATCTCTCTCTCTCCTCTCTCTCTTTTCCTTGGTTTCTCCCCCCTACCTCTCTCTCTCTCTTACACACACACACACACACACACACACACACACACAGCATACTGTAGGTGTTTGTCTACCACTGAAGAAGTGAAGGGGAAGCCTTCAATAAAGTTGCCTAAAGGATCCTTAAATGAGAATCCAGACAAAAACTTGTCTAGTTCTCTCCCTCTTTCTCACTTGTGTCTCTGGGATCTCCTCCTTCAGCATGTAGCCATATATGTACCCGGGGCTTATTGCCTCGATTTCTATTTCCATCCCCATTTCACTGTCCCTCAGAACTGGGTGTGGGGAGGTAATTTATTTAGTTAAATCATATTTTTTTCCCGTGTAATAAAATGTTATATCTAGCTAGGCAGAACTAGCTTAGGACATGCTAATTGAAACTATAGTAATACTATTCAGAAAATGGTGTTCTTTTAACAAGGCTTCACTTTCAAAGAGATTGCTGTTTCTATACTAATACACTCTTCTAGTAAACAAAAGCTGAACATTTATTCTTATTTTGCTTAGTGTTTTAGTTACACAAGGCCTAATCACTCACACTCCCAATGTCATTTCTCTCACCAAAACTCCACATCCTAAGGCACATAGGTGCCTTGGCTGAGGAAGACAAATACATTATATGGTGAAATATGAAAAAGAAGAGTCAACTGAATAATTTTAGAAAGTGTTACCCTCACTTTATTCCAATTATTCAGAAAGTTTGAGAGTTCAGGAAAAGACCCAGCAATAATTTGAAATTAATTGGTATATGAATTGGCTAGGACTGCCATAACTGAATATCACAGAATGGGTGGCTTAATTAACATAAATATATTATTTCCCAAATCTGGAGGCTGGAAGACCAACATTAAGGTGCAAGCGGGATATGTTTCCCCAGAGGCCTCTCTCCTTGGCTTGCAGATTGCTGCCTTCTGTCTACTTTGTCCCCACTTAGCCATTCATCTGCTAATGAGCTCCTGGCATCTTTTCATCTTCCTATAAAAACACCAGTCATATTAATAGATTGAGGCCCAACCCTTATGACCTCATTTAACCTTAATTGTGATTTAAAGGCCCTGTATGCAAACATAGTCCCATTGGGGGCTAGGTCTTCAACATAGAAATTTGTGGGGATACCATTGAGACCATAACAAGTCGTTGAAGAAAATACATTTTAAATTAATTCATGCTTGTTTTTTTCTTATCACATTTTTCTCATTGTCCTTTTATTTCATCCCCTCAACTGTAGCAAATTGCTCTGATTTAATGTTGTCCAATTGAACTTCAGATGAAGAAAGTTAAGTTAATTAGATCACTCAGTTAATGCCCTAATTTTATCATTGGTCTGCATAATTTGTTCTGTTATTTAATTGATTGATTGGCTAATGGATTGATCAATTCTATTTTCTCCCTTTCCCACCTCTACCTCATAAATAATTATTCTAATATCTTAATGGATGTCTATTTGCATGTCTTTTTCTGTCTTTTGGAAAATAAGTATTGTTTAATACAGATCAATCTTTAAATATTATTTTACTATTATTGTTTATCTTGTTTTTTCTGTTCTTTTTTCAACAACTGTGTTTTTAAGATCTGCTCGTCTTTCCATGCATTACCCCAGTCTTTGTTTCTATAACTGTAAACATTCCCTGGTGTGTGTCCACCACGTTGCATTTCCATTTGATGCAATTATCAGTACAATTTTTAGTTACATAGTTGAAATACAGACCAAGTCACATACCCGAAGTTTTTACAACTCTTACTGGGAATTAACTCTATAATTTAAATAACCTATAAATTAAAAATAGCAAAATATGTAATTGCAAATAAAACATAATAACAATACCAATGGCAATAGAATATATTGATAACGATCAACTGTCAGGTAAACCTCTTTAAGCAAGTCCTAAAACATAAGTAATAAAATCTGAGCCTTCAAAGTCTTCAGCAAGTTTGTAGTCCAGAGTCTTGATGAGATTAAGCTATTTGTTATAAATAAGTGAAACAGATAAATGAATGAATATAAAGTATGGTGACTTAGTTCATGTTGCTCAGAAGCAAAGCTTAAGACAAGTGTTATGTAACTGACTTATTAGACAAATTACCTTAAGAAAAACTGTTGAAGAATGGAAAAAAATAGAGCAAGAAGAGGAAGACAAAAAGCAAGGGTTCCATTTCAGTTGAAATATCAACTGCAGGCTATCTTTGTAGGAAAATCTTTCCTCAAGGTTTGTCCCTCTATAGAGATGTAACAGAATGACTATCACATCAGTTATTGATTGGCCAGTGACTGAATAAATGTTTACTGGAATGCTTCAAGGAGAAAAATAAACCTTCCAGGCTCTGGTCTTTGTTGGCTAAGTGGCTACAGGAGCATATGAATAGTTCTCTGAAAAGAATCTCAGTTCAAGAACAGTAACAACAGCATACTTAAGCTGGGGAATGAGTCTGAGAAAATGGTAAATGGAATCACTGTGATCTGAGCAGGGCACTGATAATGTCTGCTACATGTGAAAAATTGCAGAGACCTTTGTCTAGTCATTTGATTTCTAAAAAGTGGTATCATGCAGGACTGTAAACTGAAAGATTTATGGTTAATCAAAGATTGCTAGATAGCAATTAATGTACTTATTGATATTTTAGTGCTATGTAAAATTGTTATAAATTTGACTTCTCAAGAATTGACAGTGTCTCCTCTGTTCTAAACCAACACTTTCCTTTTACATTTGAGAAAATCTGAAACCTGGAGAAGTTAAATGACTTGTGTTGTCATGACAAGTTCCAGCATAATATCTGGGGTCAAGACCTCTAAACTCCATATTTAATTATGAATATTAAAAAAATCATTTGCAAGACGCCATTTATAGTCACAAAATACAGTAGTCAGTAACTGCTGTAAACTGAAATCCTTGAAAATTTAGATATTGTTGGAGTCAATAAAAGTTAGTGGTATAGAAATGCTCAGGATGAAAAGCAAAACTGACAGAGAAGTGGGTAACAAATTATTCAATAAATGAGACAATACAAAGAGAGACATAGGTGCAGCACAGCTGAGGATAAAATTGATGTCTGGATTATTTTGTTTAAGGATAGGCATATTTTTAAGAATGCTTGTTCAATATATTTGATTTTTGAAAGAATGTTTTGATTGCTTAGTGTGCCATGGTTTGAAATCTGCCAATGAAAGCACATTCTTAAAAAAGAATTGTTATCTTTATTTAATGTCCTACTCTTGACCTATTTTCATATTTTAAATTATCCCTTACAATTTTTCTGATATAACCTTCTTGAACTTAATAGTACTTTTAAATGTAATGCTTCTCTCTGCTGGATAGGTGTATTTTTTTACAGCTCTTTCTTCAAGTTGATGTCATAAGTGGGTCAGCATAACGAAATATATATGGAACAATATAAATGAGAAATTTTTGATAAGTTGCAGATTCAGTTTTGAATTGCGAACCCTTCTAAGTCTTAGTTGTGAGAAAATTAGACCGCATTACTGATAGCTTAAGCCATTTTTACTATCAAGTGAGCTTCTTTTTCAGGTTTCATAGAAAATAAAAAGAAATTAAACAATTAGACATTGCTTTTCACATTAAGAATAGAGAAAAATATTTTATTTAAAGCATGAAAATGATAGTAATTAATACTTGATTATAAAATAAAAAGACAGTCTAGTATGAAAAAATAATCTATTCAACCTTTTATAATTCAAGCATTTTAACTTTTTAGTATTCTACCTGCTTAATATATATAAATACATCTTTAACTTTTAAATTGAGTATTTTTCCAAGGATCATTTAAAAGTAACCAATACTATGATTTACATAATTTTTCTGAATTAAGGTCAAGCTTAGACCCATATATAATTCAGATAAATTATACAAAAAATTGTGTTTCTCTTTTATTTTCATTCTGTGATTGCTTTTCTCCTCAGTATCTTAGAAAAATAACGATCAGATCTCTCAAATGAATTAATAGCCATTTGATATGCAAATACTTTAACATCTCTTAACCATCTGGGGTTACTATAAGCTTTTTATTCACTATTTTAATAGAATCAACATGTCAGTCAAATTTACAAAACACGATTTTATTAATACCAGATAGAAAACATATATAATTGTCAGGGACAGATACAGATTTTGTGGAACTACAGCTAATGTAATTTGTGGGAACTCTTTTAGACTAAAATGGGCCAGATGCAGTGGCTTATGCTTATAATTTTAACACTTTGGGAGGTCAAGGCAGGAGGGTCACTTGAGGCCAGGAATTTGAGGTCAGCCTTGGTAACATAGCAAGAATATATCTCTACAAAACATCAACAAATTAGCTGGGCATGGTGACACACACTTGTCATCCCAACTACTCAGGAGGCTGAGTGGCGAGGATCGCTTAAGGGAAGTTGAGGCTGCAGTGAGCCATCCTCATGCCACTGCATTGTAGCCTAGGTGGCAGAGTAAGACCTTGTCTCAAACAACAATAACACACACACACAAAAAAAAAAGAAAAAAAAAGAAAAGGAAGATAGGATACAATGATTCATAATTAAAATTATAAAAGTAGTCTATTTATGAATGCTTGTTTTATGGTGTGAAAATAATTCAAAAAAATTAGAATCTTTCAAAGATGAAAAATACCATAGGTATTTTCTTTACATTTAGATTTTTTTATTTGCCACTCGTATACTTCATTTTGCTCACATTTGAATTCTGAAATAATTCTGAAAAGGTATACAAAATTAATCATAAATTAATTAAAAAGAACAATGGTAATGAATCTTAAAATTAAAACTGAATTTTCTGAAGTTATTAAAAGTAAATTCTTTTTTTTTTTTTTTTGAGACAGAGTCTCGCTCTGTCACCCAGGTTGGAGTGCAGTGGAATGATCTCTGCCCACTGCCACCTCTGCCTCCCAGGTTCAAGCAATTCTACCTGCCTCAGCTTCCCGAGTAGCTGGGATTACAGTTATTTATTTATTTATTTATTTATTACGGAGATGGAGTCTTGCTCTGTCGCCAGGCTGGAGTGCAGGGGCACAATCTTGGCTTACTGCATCCTCCGCCTCCCGGGTTCAAGTGATTCTCCTGCTTCAGCCTCCCAAGTAGCTGGAACTACAGGCATGCACCACCACACCTAGCTATTTTTTGTATTTTTAGTAGAGACGGGGTTTCCCCACGTTGGCCAGGATGGTCTCAATCTCTTGACCTTGTGATCTGCCCGCCTTGGCCTCCCAAAGTGCTGGGATTACAGGCCTGAGCCACAACACCCAGCTATAAATAATTATTATAATGTGTTGAATTCCTGGTAATTATGCATAGAAGTTTTCTTGTGGGGGGGAACACTTATTTATTTGGATCATTTTGATGCTTCAATGACAGTTTGATTGACTGTTTCTTCTTTAACCACCCTAGTTAACCAGGAAAAAAATTTCTCAGACACTGTGTAAAATAATCCTCATACCTTGGGTTGCATAAAATATGTAATTTTACACACCAACATAATCGCTATATGATATTTTACTCCATGTGTAACCTAACATAGGAAAGTACCCATTTTATTTCAGGAAATTAGAATAAAAAGAAAATAAATATGTAGTGTGTTTACAGTACTATATACTGCATTGCTGAGTATTTTTCTTTTTTCTTTTTTTTTGAGATGGAGTCTTGCTCTGTCACCCAGGCTGGAGTGCAGTGGCGCGATCTTGGCTCACTGCAAGCTCAGCCTCCCGCGTTCACGCCATTCTCCTGCCTCAGCCTCTTCAGCAGTTGGGACTACAGGCGCCCCCCGCCACACCCAGCTAATTTTTTTTTTTTTTTTTTTGTATTTTTAGTAGAGATGTGGTTTCACCGTGTTAGCCAGGATGGTCTCGATCTCCTGACCACGTGATCCGCCTGCCTCAGCCTCCCAAAGTGCTGGGATTACAGATATGAGCCACCACGCCCAGCCTTTGCTGAGTATTTTTCTAACAGGAGAGAACTTCCAATTTGTCTAGGTCTTGATGGGAACCTAATCTTGTTACAACTTTTTATATGGCTGATGATTGGAAAAAGTTTCCATAGGCTAGTTATTGACTCTGTACCTTTCAGATCTAGTTTATTCTACAACTCACAGATACTTAAAATGAAATTTAGAACATGTTGAGATTTTAAAAAACATGTATTCTCTGCTACCTTTTTAGAAGATACTGAGTAAGCTGATTCAATGAATGGAAAGGGTATTCTGGAAGCCATCTCACTAGCAGTAGCAGTAACTATTCAATGAAGTGAATAGTTCAATGAAGTTAATCTGCTTCTTTTATTGAATGCTGACAAAGATAATACTCATGTTTTGTTGCTAGTTTCCATCATTTTTGTTTGCAAGCATGGCAGTGAAGAGATTTGATAGTTCTGGTAGCAAAGTAATGGAAATGGCACATCCAGGTGTCTGGGCTAGACAGAGAATGAATAAAGCTTTTTACCTGTAACTATGATACATGAAAAATCAACTTTGTGAAGAATTTTCATATTTGCTAAAAGTAATTGCTTTATTTTTTAACTGTAATAAACTCCAGGTGTATGTCATTTTAAATTATTTTTATCTCACATAAACTATGTGTATAGCTCACATTAAAAAATGTTTTTTTTGCTTCTACTTTTCCACTTCACTCTAGCCCTGCCCCACCAATACGCATAGAGTAATATCTCTGTTTGGGGACTGGCTAATTAACAGATTCATGAATAATAAATTAGGTTTGTGCATGGTATTGTACTTTTTATATATTTGTGCACTACGAGTATGTGGTTCATATAGTGAAACGGTATCTAGAAGTTTGAAAAAGTGAAATGTTTATATTGTATTAAAACAGAATAGAAATATTAGTAAAAGTAAATGACATATACTCTACATGTGGACAGAGTTCTATTTACCTTTGTTGTTAATTATTTACAAAAGATATAAAGGAAGAAAGATTTGCAATGATTCCATGGGTGAGTGTGAGAATGATTGTGTGTGTGTGTGTACATATTGTAATAAATTATTTAGATTTACATTTGTGTTATCTGATGGCACTGATGGCACTATCTTTTCAGATGTTTACATACAACTCAATGTAATGGAAATGTAAATCTAAATGCCCTGTTTAAAGAGGGTAGAGACAAGTTATAGTTACTGAGGAGAGAAATTAACAATTCACAAGGACCTGTCATATTATTTAAAGTAATTGCATTCTATTAAGTAATGGCAAGAAATGTATCTAGAGGCAATTAAGGTGAACTAGTCGATCTTTTACTTTAAAATTCTAAATTTAGAATTCTCTATGCTTTGAAATAGGAAACCTATTAAACTTTGTTTATTCTGTTTTACAGAGTATACCTGTTATAGGGAAATACTGAAAAACTATATTTCAGGCCCAGCACAGTGGCTCTGGCCTATAATCCCAGCACATTTGGAGGCTGAGGTGGGTGGATCACTTGAGGTCAGGAGTTTGATACCAGCCTGGCCAATATGGGTGAAACCCCATATCCACTAAAAATACACAAAAATTAGCAGTGTGTGCTGGTGCGTGTCTGTAGTCCCAGCTACTCGGGAGGCTGAGGCAGGAGAATTGCTTGAACCTGGGAGGCAGAGGTTGCAGTGAACTGAGATCACGCCACTGTGCTCCAGCCTGGGCAACAGAGCAAGACTCTGTCTAAAAAAAAACAACAAAAAAAAACAAAAACCAAAAAACAAAAACTATATTTCAGTTACTGTGAGAGCACTCCAGTTTTGTTTCACAAATAATGAAAAGTTGCAAGCCAGACAGAAGTGGTTGCTGCAGTATTATAAATTTCTGCTTCCAGTTTTTCTTTAATTTTGCCACATTTCCTTTCATAGATGGAAGTCTTCTTCTATTTGTAGATATATTTTGTAACTCCAGGATAAAGTGATTTATATAAATTCACCTTAGTTTTGTGAATTTTACAGGAACATGCATTTTTATTGTTTGTTTTTTGAGACAGGGTCTTACTCTGTTGCCCAGGCTGGAGTGCAGTGGCATTATTATATCTCACTGCAGCCTGGAACTCCTGGGTTTAAGCAATCCTCCTGCCTCAGCCTCCCAAGTAGCTAGGACTACAGAAGTGTGCCCCCATGCCCAACTAGTTTTTTAATATTTTTGTAGAGATGAGGTATCACTATGTTGCCCAGGGTGGTCTTGAACTCCTGGCTTCGGGCAATCCTTCCACTGAAGCATCCTAAAGTTCTGGGATTATAGGGATGTGAGCCACCATGACCTACCAGAGCATGCATTCTTTTTTTTTTTTTTAATGGTTTTATTTCACTGATTTTCTTTAAAGCAATGTTTAGAAACAAGTTGGCTATAGGAAGGTAGAATATAAGTGTGATTATGGGGAGAATTTAGAGATACATAATTGAGTTTGAATGCCAGCTTTATCAATTATTATTTATGTTACTTTGGACACATTATAGACTTTCCTTGAAACTCAGTTATCTTTTTAGTCCTCCTGTTCATTATGGAAATTAGGAGTCCTAAGCTAATCTTCAGGTTGCATAAGAAACTGATAATCTAATGAGAAGGTATTATGTGTGATTTACTTCACGAATGACACCTTTCACAAGCTGAACTCGTCCACTGCTAGGATAGATACTAACATACAGTTTAAGATACACACTTTATTAAGCCATTCAGAAACTACCCTTGGCCATATTTTGCTATGGTTGCAAAAGAGATTATTCTCAAATATCTGAAAAAAGCATTAAAATATTCTTTTTTTTTCCAATTGTGTAAGATTGTAAGCCCAGATTTTCTTCACATACGTCCGACAAAACAATGCACAGAAACTCTTTTAATGCAGAAGCTGATATAAAAATTCCACTGCCTTCTATTAAGCTAGACATTAAATAGACTGGAAACATTAAAACTATTTTGGATTTTTTGCTTGTTTGGGAAAACATTTTTCATAAGAAAATTGCTGATAATATTATAGGTTTGATTTTGTTATTTAAAAATAAATTTTAAATTTACATTTTACTTTTTAATTTTATTTTGAAATTAGCAACTAAGTATTTCTATTTTTTCTAATTTAATTTAGACTATAATAAATATAGAAGTAAAAAAAAAAGCCCCTCGACATCCTCAATAATGTTCTAAAATTATAAATAAATCTTGGAATCAAAAAGTTTGAGGACTTTTTTTCTATTTTATTTTGTTGGTTAATTGGTCTTTTTTGGCCTACCTGGAACACTGTCAACTACCGGAGCTTTAAAATAAATGTTGATGTGTAGTAAGGCTAGTCTTTTCACTTTCTTTTTGTTCTTTATAAGTTACTTGTGGAATTGGGAAATAAGGTAAGGGAGGGAAATTTTACCATATATTTTGAATAGTAACATATTATTTGAATTTGTATTTCTATATGCATATGTATTATTTATATAATCAAATAAAAATATAGAAATGTTTAATAAATACAACTTAATGCCACAAGATTGAATTAATTCTAAAATTGTTATAGCCTAAATCATTTAAAAGTTCAAATTTCAGACCCATTAAAACATCAACAGTAGAATTTGGTCATGATTCATGAAAAGAAAATGAAGCAGCCACAAATCATAAGAATCCAAAAAAAGCCATTCCTCATAATTAGCAATGTGTATCTTTTTCCTTTACCACTCTGTCTAGGTGGATTCTTTCCAAAGAATTGTCTCTTTAATTAATTTTCTCTATTATTTTTCTGCTTTTAATTTTACTTCTTTTTTTTTTTTTTTTGTGAGATTGAGCCTCACTCTGTCACTCAGGTTGGTGCAATCCAGGCTCACTGCAACCTCTGCCTCCTGGGTTCAAGCAATTCTCCTGCCTTAGCCTGCTGAGTGGCTGGGATTACAGGCACCAGTCACTACGCCTGGCTAATTTTTTTTTTTTTTTTTTTTTTTTTTTTGTATTTTTAGTAGAGAGCGGGTTTCACCATGTTGGCTTGGCTGGTCTCGCATTCCTGACCTCAGGTCATCTACCCGCCTTGGCCTCTCAAAGTGCAGGGATTGCAGGCGTGAGCCACTGTTCCCAGCCTGATTTCAATTATATTATTTTCTGCTTTGATCTTATTCCCTTTGCCTGCTTGCTTAAAGTTTATGTTCTTTCTTTTTTTTAGATTATGGAGGTAAGAGCTTAAATTATTGATCTGAGACTTTTCATTTTTTTCTAATATATGAATTTTGTTCTAACTATCTTCTAGATCCTGCTTCAGTTGTGTCCAAATTATTATTATTATTATTATTATTTTTGAGACGGAGTCTCGCTCTGTCGCCCAGGCTGGACTGCGGACTGCAGTGGCGCAATCTCGGCTCACTGCAAGCTCCGCTTCCCGGGTTCACGCCATTCTCTTGCCTCAGCCTCCCGAGTAGCTGGGACTACAGGCGCCCGCCACCGCGCCTGGCTAATTTTTTGTATTTTTAGTAGAGACGGGGTTTCACCTTGTTAGCCAGGATGGTCTTGATCTCCTGACCTCATGATCCACCCGCCTCGGCCTCCCAAAGTGCTGGGATTACAGGCGTGAGCCACCGCGCCCGGCCAATTATTTTTTAACGTATAGATTACAGGCTGAGTATCACTTATCCAAAATGCTTGGGACGAGAAGTGTTTCAGATTTCAGAGATTTTCAGATTTTGTAATATTTGCATATACATAATGAGATATCTTGGGGATAGTACCCAAGTCTCAGCACAAAATTCATTTATGTTTCATATGCATCTTACAGACATAGACTTAAAGTAATTTTATACAACATTTAAAAATAATTTTGTGTATGAAACAATTTTAACTGTGACCAGTCACATGAGGTCAAGTGTGAAATTTTCGACTTGTTGTGTCATGCTGACTTTCAAAAAGTTTCAGCTTTTAAAGTGTTTCAGATTTTATATTTTCAGATTAGGGATTTTCATGCTTTATTTATAATTTTGCTTTTCAGTTACCAGGAGTTTGGAGAGTTTCCTCTTATCTTTATGTTATTATTAGTTTGCTTAACTTGTGGTCAGAGAACATGCTCTATATTACTTTAATTATTTAAAATTTTTTGAAATTTGTTTTATGGCCTCCGATAGGTCTATTTTGGTAAATGTGTTACAAGCATATGAAATGAGCATATGTTCTGCTGCTGTTGGAGTGTCCTATACATGTTGATTAGATTCAATTGGTTGATGGTGCTATTGTATTCTGTATTTCTGATGACTTTTTATCAAGCTGTTCTATCAATTGTTAAGAGAAGGAAGTTAGTTTATGTAGAGTCAGTTTAGTATAATTGTGAACCTGCCTTTTCTCTCAGTTCTGTCAGCTTTTGTTTCAAATATTTTGAAGAGCTGTATTCTAGTGCACACATTAATCTCTTGATAAACACTTTTTTTTCTTTTAATTCTGAGACAGAATCTTGCTCTGTCACCCAGGCTGGAGTGTGGTGCAATCTTGGCTCACAGCAACCTTCACCTCCCAGGTACCAGTGATTCTCCTGCCTCAGCCTCCTGGGTAGCTGGGATTACCCGCACACACTACTACATCTTGCTAATTTTTGCATTTTTAGTAGAATTGGGGTTTCACCATGTTGGCCAGGCTGGTCTCAAACTCCTGACCTCAGGCGATCTGCCCGCCTTGGCCTCCCAAAGTGCTGGGATTACAGGTGTGAGCCACTGTGTCTGGCCAATAAACACGTTGTTTTTATAAGCCCTTTTATCATAGGCAATATTCTTCTTTGCCTCCAGTAATTTTCTTTACTCTGAATTCTGCTTTATATATTATTAATATAGATTCTTTTCCTTTTGATTAATGTTTGCTTGATATATCTTTTCCCATCATTTTACTTTTAAGCTACCTATACTGTTATATTTGAAGTAAATTTCTTGTAGATAGTGTAGAGTTGGGTGATATTTTTAAATACACTGATGATTCCCACATTTTCAGTAGTGCATTTATATGACTCATATATAATGTAATTATTATGTTAAGCCTAAGTCTGCTATTTTAAATTAATTTTAATTTTATATTTGTTTATTTATAAGGTTTTTTTAGTGTATTTCTTTGTATAGCTTGTTTATTGGTGGATCTAGATATTAAACATATACATTATCGCACTATACTGTTATTGGCATATCTTCAATTTAAGTAAAGTGTAAAAATGTTATCTCTTTTTGTATCCCTTTGTCCTCTCTGGGCTATAAAATAATTGTCAAATATTTTTGCTACATAAATTAGAACTATTTTAGACAATTTTTAAAATTTTTGCTTTAACCTGTAATCCCAGCTACTTGGGAGGCTGAGGCAGAACTGCTTGAACCTGGGAGGTGGAGGTTGCAGTGAGCTGAGATTGTGCCTCTGCACTCCAGCCTGGGTGACAGTGAGACTCTGTCTCAAAAAAAAAACAAAAAACAAAAAACAAAAAACAAAAAAACATCTAATGTACTCTATAGACCTCAAGAGGTTTACTTTAACACAGTTTTCTTATCATGTTCTGTTTTCCTTACTGATGTTCAAAGTTGTCTTCTCTTTAACTTATTTTTTGTTTAATTTCCTTTGGCAATTCTTTTGGGATAATTCTGTTGGTGATAAATTATCTTAGGTTTTTTTCTTCTTTTTTCTTTTCCTAAAAAATATTTTGCTTTCCCCTTTGTTTCAGAAGACTGTTTTTGTTTGGTGTATGTTTTGGGGTTGATATTTCTTTTCATTAAATGCTTGAAATATATTCCACTTTTTTCTGGCATTCATAGTTTCGGATGGGAAGTCAGCCATCACTCACATTGTTTTTTCTCTATTTTGTCTATCATTTTACATATCTTTATTTTCAGCTATTCAATTATGAGGCATCTTGGTTTGGATTATCTTTGGGTTTGGTATTCACTCATTTTATTGAATATGTTGCTTTATTTGCTTTGCCAAATATGGAAACTTTTCATTTACTGTATCTCGAAGTACTTTTAAAGCTCCACCATCTTTCTCTTCTGCTTCTGTACTTCAATGACATACATTATCAATCTTTTGTTATAGTCCTAGAGTTCTTTGAGCCTCTGTTCATTTTGTTCTCAGTCTGTTTTCTCTCTGTTATTCTGGTTGGGTAATGTCTACTGCTCTATTTTCTGTTTATTTTTTTATTTTTTAATTTTTTCTTACATCACCTGTATTCTGCCCTTGAACCCATCCACCAAACATTTTATTCTTTAAAATAGTTTTGGGTTCTAAAATTTTTATTTAATCTTTCTTTATATCTTTCATTGCTTTACCCAGACTTTCCAATTCTTTGCTGAAGCTTCCCTCCCCACCCCAAATCTGTTCATAATTATTTGCTGAAGCATTATTTTTTTTACCGTGACTACTTTAAAAACTTTGAGAGATAATTCTAACATCTCTATCATCTTGGTGTTTCATGTGTTGATTGTCCTTTTACATTGATTTTGAGACCATCTTATTCTTGGTCCAATAAGTAATTTTTGATTGCAGCATAGAGATTTGTGTATTATGTTCTGGAACTCTGGGTCTTAATTAAACCTTCTTTTGTAGCTGACCTTCACTGATATCTCACTTCAACAGGAGATTGGAAATGCCACGTTAATTCCTGCTAGATAGAGATAGAAGCCCAGTTTCCTCACTAGGCTGCCACTGATTCTTAGATATGGGGCTCCTTATTACTGCTGGGTAGAGATTGGAGACTATCTCTCATTTAGTATCCACTGACACTATGTAGAGTGTGCAGCCATTACAACTGGGCAATGGTTGAATAACTTAACTCTAAATTAGACCTCCTTTGATATCACCCCTCAGAGGAGGGATGGAAAGCCTCATTATGACTGGCTGATGGTGGGATTTCAAGATCCATGCATGGTTTTTAGTGACGCCACTGATGGTGGCCTTGTTATTGACTGAAGGAGATAAAAGTCCAGACTTCCTACTTTATCTTCTTTGACAGTGCCCCAGTGAGTTGTTCAAGTATCTCATTACAGTTTAGTAAGGGTAAATATGTAGGTTCCCTGTTTGGTCTTTGCTGATGTGTTTGTGGGTGGAGCCATAGTTTTTCTTCAGTGGTTAGCTAGTGTAAAGAGGTTATTGTCTAAAAGTCTGTGTCTGCTAACCTAACTCTTTCCTGATCCTTTTGTTGGAGAGAATAGCCTTTGGTTAACACTTGTTTTGTCTATGCTTGTTAATGTTCTCAGGTTGCCAACTTCTTCAAATCCAAGTCTGGAATATATGAAGAAAAAAACACAAAAACACAGGGAACTCTCTACCTTGTTGTGCAAGTCCTGCTGTCTCTAGGTCCCTAGGCATTTCTTTTTTTTTTTTTTTTTGTCTCAAATTTTCTGCTTTGCTTGTTTTATATAAAATATCCAGGGACTTTCGTTGTATGTAGCAAAAAAATTTTAAAAAATGAAAACATTGTATCTATTCCACATTTCTCCAATAAAAGTCTCAATCCCATTTTTAAGCATTAGAAAATTATTTCTAAAAACCTAAACCACAGAGGTACACCTTGTCTTCATTTACCAGTTCCCTCTTTCAAAATTCATTCAGGGTCTCTGGAAAAGTTTGAAAATTTCATATTCAAAATATTCTAGAATATAATGTGTCTAAATGAGAGAAGTAATTTGATATAGTCAATTATAATACTATTTAAAAAATAGTTTTCTAGAGGTAATTTTTTTTTTACTATTTTCAATAAAATCACCATCCTTTAAGGGAAACAAAGGTTTCAACAATTCCATTATTCATCATTTGTTAGAATTACAATATTAATATCTCATTAACCTAATTGACATCATTACAGTAAAACTGAGCTCTTTTAAAATAACTATGTTAGTAAAAAAGGTAAAATTGTTTAAATGTCAAGAGATCAGGTGTTTTAAAGATTACAAATATTGCATCTAAATAAAGAAAATAATCTTCTATATTAATGTATGTTTTTTACTAACTTACATTGTGAAGCCCTAGATTCTGTATTATATTTTTCTTTTTGTTGTTGTGTGTATTCATGAGCTGAAAGTTTGACTTTCAGTACCATAGTTTAAATACAATTGCTTCCTAGCAACCATCGCATTTGGTAACTTGTCTCAGGAGCAGAGCTGCTCAAAAGGTGCTTTCCATCCTTTAAATAAATATTAAAAAGAAACCACAAACACAAAACAAACAAACAAATGAAAAAAGAGGCAAGTAATTTAAGGTGATTGTAAGGTCATGATTGTTTTCTCTGATCCATTTTTCAGACCTATTCTAAAAGGTTCTATTGCTTATATAACTTAAACTAAGTCCATTGCTGAGATAAAAAAATGGGTCCATTATGAACTATAAGATAAAATACTGTCTGTAGTTGACTTTCATATGCATTCTTAAAAATTGCCTTATTTCTAAATTGAAAACCTCTGGCTACATTCAATAATTGTGCAATTGATTGTTGTATGCATCTAGTATTTATTTAAAACAACAGACTAAAAAATGCTCGTTTCATTCATTGCAGCCATCACACATATATTCAAATATTTTTAAAAATTTTAATGAAATAAAATAAATATATACTCTTTGAAAGCAAATAACATTTAAAAATTAGACTTTAACAAAATAAGTGAATTGTGATGTAAATTAAATGACTTATTTTATTATATATCTATTAATAATGCATATAATTTCTGTATAATTTTGTCAATGAAAAATACCTCTGTAATCTTTACTGAATTAGGTGATATGTCAAAGAAGGGCAGTGTAGTGGAAAATGTAAGAATTTACTGTCACTGAGATGAGGAATTCAGAATACTAAGGATATTGTCTGATACAAAATAAGGGCTAAACAAATGCCAGTTTTACATCTTCTTTTGAGTGATTTGTAGGATTGATGGCAGGGAGAGATTAAGAGAGAATTTTAGTTTTACTAGCTGCAATAAACCATTTAAGAAAAAAAGAACACCAGTTATAATTACTTTGATCAGAAATTAAAACATTCTATAAAAATAAAATACTGTAGTTTTTTACTTGTTTCTTTAAAGAGAAGTAAGTGATATTTTAGTAGAATCAGTAATTTTTGCTATTTCTGGTCTCTATAAATCTGCAAGCCAGAATTATAAGCTTGCTTTTGTATACAACATGCTTTTAAATATTAACTTCTACTATTCAAAAAGCATACTATCCCCTTCATGAAACATATAAGAACAAAGGTCAGGTAGGATGTATATAGGAACTCTTATGTCTTATTATTAGTGGACTTTGAATTTTATCAGAGAAATAATAAACATGCAGGTATGTTCAGAAATGTCACTCTTTATCACTTTTTTTATTTTCGGTTCATTTATTCCACTAAGATACGAAATAACTTATTACTAAAATAAAAAAGTCAAAGCAAAGAATAATGTTGTTTCCATATTAAATAATTGTGTTCCATACATTTCAACAGAATCAGGTAAATATAATATTAACTGAAATATGTTAAGATATTATATAAATACAAATAAAAAAATCTAATTAACTGCATTTTAAGTACTTCCTTATTTTTTTTTCAAATGGCTGTTCAGATAGAACTAAATGTTCTACATTTTATCCCTCATCTTAATGTAGAATACAATTTTGTGTTTCTGAAAAACTAAAAGTAATTCTAGTCAATTACCATGTACCCTTTTTATAATTGTAATCATGCCAAATTATGTAATTACAAAATATTACAAGTGTCAGCAATCATATGCTGACAGCTTGTAATTAGGTAATTACCATGTGGACTTATAGAATTATGATACCTAAAGATATCAAAAAGATTTTAATATATTAACTCTTTTGCAGTATTATAAATCTAATTGAATTGTATAACATATTGGAAAAACCAGTGGCTCATCCTGGAATCTACAATTATGAAACCAATAAAAAATTTTTTAAAAACTTTAGGACAAGTAATTTATATTTTAAATGCTCTGACGTATCCATTTTATATACACAGATATACCAAGAAAGCTAGTATTTTATAGTATTTTTATTAAAAACTAAATTGTATTTGTTAAACTACTACAGTTTTTACATCAGCAAATATAAAATAATTCAAAAGGTCTATAGGTTCAAATATTCATATAAATTCTTTTGTGGAAAAACTATTCCTTAAATGAAAAAAAGATGCATAAGCAATTTTTGACTTAGAAAGCATTTCATGTGTATTCATCTAATCTAGTAGCTAACTTAACATATATTTTAAATAATATACTGAATCTTGAGCTGAATTATGTTTCTTGAGGACTTCTTAAGCACAATGGGAACACAAAAGGCATAAATAACAGATATATTTGTTGACATAAAAATTAAAAGCCATGGTTCTGCTTCTCAAATGGTGAGGTAAGCTCACCGCAGCCTATATATTTCACTGATGATTACAACCAAAACCTCTAAACAAATTATAAAGACAATTACTTAAGAACCCAATAAATGAAAAAGGGAATATAATTACAAACACCATAGAGAATAAAAAGATCATAAAAAATTATGAAATAATTTATGCTAACAAATTCTACAACTTACTATGGTTCAATTTATTGAAAAGCAGTGTTCACTCAAAAAGTGAGAGAAAGAGAGAATGAATGAGAGCACTTCAATGGTCTTAAGTCTATTAAAGTCATTAATTCATAGCTAAAACTTTCTATAAAAGAAAATTCCTGGGCAAGATTGTTTCACCAATGAATTCTACAAAATATTTTAAAAAGAAATTATAGTAATTCTATGGAAATTGATTTTGTGAAACCACTATTGATTTTAAAATAAAATCAAGTAATCATAAAAATGTAAAATTGTATATTATTCATAAACATAGAAGCAAACATCATCAACAAAATAATAGAATCTAACAAATACACTCTTATAGCAAGTAGAATCGAGCAATGCATAAAAATATAATATATAAAATCAAATGGAGATTATTCTGGTAATGTAAAGGTAATTTAACTTTTGAAAACCTTCAAAATATCATATGACCAGACTAAAGAAAAAGCTGTGTAAGCGTCTCAATTAATGTATAAAAATATTTGACAAAGCTCAACACTATTTCTGATTAATAATCTCAGTAAAATAGGGATAGAAATTCCTTAACATTATAAATAACATCTACACAAATCTACAGCTAATATCAAAACTATGATAAAACATGACATACTTTTTAAAATTAAAATTGAAAACAAGGCAAGGGTATCTATTCCTACCACTTCTAATTAACATTATACTGACACACTTATGATGTCCAATAAGCTAGAAATATGGACTTCCAGATTGTTAAGGAAAAAATAAAACTGTCTCTATTTATGGAAGACAGAGCTATATGGATAATCATATGGAACCAATAAAGAAATGTCTATAAAACTAATAATTTAGGTAGGCATTGATATAGAGCAAATATAAAGAAAACATAGCTTTTCTTTATGTTAACAATGAGCAATTGAAGTTAATTTTTTTTAAATGCACCAATAACATGAGTTTGGTTAAGAATCAGCTAACAAAATGTGCTCAGGAATTCTCTATTGAACACCAAAAATTAATGACAAAAGAAATTTAAAAAGACCCATATGAATGTAGATGTGTACCATGTTCACAGATTGAAAGCTTAGACAATGTTAAGATGGTAACTCAGAGCATAGTTATGAGTCGTTGTGAGCCCTATTTAAAATATTGGACATCCCTATGCAGACAACTGAATCTCTATCCATACCTTGCACCTCATTGAAAACTTAAATAAAAGGTTTAATAGTACAATAAAACCTAAAAATACAGAATATGTGGAAGAAAACATATATTTGAAATTTGTTATTCATCTTATTTCTTCAAGTTTTTTTTCTGTATATATGTCTGTATATATATGTGTAGATAATAAATGTGCAAATAATAAACTATAATGTGTGTGTGTGTGTGTGTGTAGGCATAGAAGCATTGAACACCACAAAGTATAGGAAAAGAGTTACGGAGACAATTAAACTTTGTGGGTGAGAGGGTGCAGGCAGTTATCAGAAAATGCTTTAAAGATGAAAGTGATACTTCATTAGAGTGTGGAAAAATGACCTGATATTCAGCTGAAGGAAATTGGTGAAGATTTCTATCAGAAGATGCAGCACAAAACAGACAGCTAGATGTGAAATATAATGGTGAACTTCACAATTATGTGTGAGGATTGGTTAGGAAGAATGGTAGTTTAAGTATTTTATTTCCAAGGATTGCTACCTAACGCTTTCGGGACCAAAGAGACTATCTCCTGCTTGTGTTTGGTATGTGATAGGTGTGTGGAAACAATCACTTGCCATTAAAATGAAAACTGCATAAATGTCTGCCATTTTATTTGAATTACTGCCAATTTTTAAATATTTGCCCCAACAAGGTTAGCTTCTAAATACTCTCCACGTATGAAGGTAATATATGCTTCATGAAGTTTCATGAAGATAAAGCATGTCATTTAAATTTTCTATTTGTTCAGTAAAAACTTAATTAAAACCTGTTCTTCCCCAAGTTAGAAAAAGTTTACTTATATATAAATATGATTATGTCTCTGTCCACAAACTTTGTATGGTTTAAAACAGTTATTCTGAAGAATCTTTAAAAATGTTGTAAAAAAAAGAAAGGAAGAATTAACACAAAGAAGAGCTTCATGTTATAAATAAATAAATATTTTAAAACATGTTTCCTCAGATCTCTTTTTTTTTTTGAGATGGAGTCTTGCTATGTCACCCAGGCTGGAGTGCAGTGGCTCGATCTCAGCTCACCACAAGCTCCACCTCCCGGGTTCACGCCATTCTCCTGCCTCAGTCTCCCAAGTAGCTGGGACTACAGGTGCCCGCCACCACCCCGGCTAATGTTTTGTATTTTTAGTAGAGACAGGGTTTCACTGTGTTAGCCAGGATGGTCTCGAGCTCCTGACCTTGTGATCTGCCCACCTCAGCCTCCCAAAATGCTGGGATTACAGGAGTGAGCCACCGTGCCCGGCCTCCTCAGATCTTTTAAAACGTAAATATTCACTTTGAATTTCCAAGAAATGTGTTTATTATGATGTTTTTATAAGTTATATGACCATAGCCAACAATTTTTCCATAAGGCATCTGTTAGGACTATTGTTATTCAGAAAACTTTACGTAACATAACATAAGAAATGTGTAGCTCATTATAACTATGGAAACAACGTAGCATTTTCTAAACTCTAAAATAAATTAACGTAGATGTCATCAGAATATTGTATCCTTAACTATACAGAAGAATCAGACTTGTAAAGTAAATTATCAATATTTTAATGATAGGACGAGTGAGATAATGAATATATTGTCCAGCATAGCACCTTGTAGAACACAATGAATAATGCTTCTCCCTGAATTTTGCTCATTTTTTGCCCCTTTCCATTTGAATATGGCACTGTATGTTCAAAATTAAGCATACCAAACCAGTCCCATTTATTTGATATATCCAGTGGAATTCATGATAAAGTGTTTGAGAGAAATGCACCCTCTATTTGCTAATTCTTCTATTGATGCATATGATTTTGTAAGATAAGTGAATGCATTTTGTGCGTGGTGTGTGTGTGTGTTTGTGTGTATGTTTGTGGTATTGGCATATGTGTACATATATATGGAAAAAATAAATGTTGACTTTTATATTTTTAATAAATATTATATTTAAATATTCCCCATAAAATTCAATATAAAATCAGTTTTTAGAATTACTGATTCAAACATTTTAAGTATATTGAAACATATATCAGTAAAACAAATTTGTGTTGCTCTTAAATATGTGTGCATGTCTGTGCATTTTGTGCTGTTTGTTGACAAATGCTAACAAATATTTTCATTCTGCATGCTTGATAGGCCAAGACATGTAGGCAGTTTCTTTTACAGTAATAGGAGCAGAGCACATCTTCAATTACATATAAAATATTCTCACATTAAAATTACTTTAGCATTTTTTATTTTATGCTGCCACTCAATTCATGTAGTTAACTAATTTTGTAGACTAATGAGTACTTTTCTTCCCACATCCTGAATTTAGATGAAGAATCAAGTTCTGAAGTTGTTCAGATTATTCAGTTCTAGGTTTGATAAATCTAATATGTTTATAACTGCCTGAGAAGTCCTAATTCAAAGCTCTTCACATCTAGACCTTTTTGGGTTGCTGATTACTCCGAGAAACTCATTTTTCCTAGCTTAAAACTATAAGGACTTCTCATGACATATTTTAACCGAAGGAATAGAGCTATGAAAAAGGTACATAGCTGAAAACATAAAACAAAAAGAATTTTAATGATTCACTAAAATTCAAGACAACTGTGAATATAGTTGATTCCACAGAAAGTATTTCTTGTCCTATATGCAATCTCTCCTGCTAGACAATAATATAATAGTTTTAAATTTAAAGGAGGCATTCAGAATCATTTCTGACAATTATTTCAAGCATTTTGATCATGGTTAAGTCCTTTTAATTTGCTTTCCTCCCACTTTATTATTTGCTTAAGTTTTGGCCCTTGCAGTTTGTTTATATTTGTTTACACATTGGTAATAATAATGTTTAGAAGTTGACTTTTTCAAATTTAAACTTTTGTTGGGTAAATCACTTTCCACGGATAGATGCATATTTTAACCTACTAGAAACCTTAGGTCTGATCAATGCTCTATTTTTGGTATTATCCTTACCTTGTAATTTATCCTTCTTGGAGATATATCTTTATACTCTAGATTTAGAAAGTTATTGATTTCGAAGTTTCCCCCAAGACACCTACTCAAATCATATATGCTATTTCTGCCTTCCTTCCTTACTCCTTCTGATATGGTTTGGATGTTTGTCCCCTCCAAATCTCATGTTGATATTTAATCCCCAGTGTTGGAGGTGAGGCCTGGTGAGATGTGTTTGGATCATGGCAGTGAATTCCTCATGAATGGTTTGGTGCCGTCTTTATGGTAATGAATGAATTCTTGCTCTATTAGTTCCTGGAAGAACAAACTGATAAGAAGAGTCTGACACCTTCTCCCGTCTCTTGCTTCCTTCACTGCCAAATCATGCCTGCTTCCCTTGGTTTCCACCATGGATGGAAATTTCAGGAAACCTTTACCAGAAGCAGATGCTGTCACCATGCTTCTTGCCAGCATGGTGAGTCTGAAGAATTGTGAACCAAATAAACTCCGTTCTTGATAAATTACCCAGCCTCTGGTATTACTTTAGAGCAGTGCAAATGGAGTAAGACACCTTCACTCCCTCTCTTCTTTCCTTCCTTATATCCTCTCTTCTTTTGCTATCCATTTCATTTTATAAGACTAAGAAAGCTGAATTAATGATGGGAGGAGATTTCTTTAGGAAACAATTAAATCTAACAAAATTAATGCCTCTCTGAAAAGTCTTTTTGTTAGGGTGCTAACCGACCTACTTTGGTTAAGCTTACATTTTAAATTTTACTTGAAACAAGGCACAAATAAAAACAGGACTATCATGCTTTTGTGTGTCACTAACAACTTATTTTTAGCTTTATAAAACTGAAACTCCACAAGGAAGTTTCCAAATCCATAGGGTGTTCCCACTTCTTACATTTTGTCCTTGGATCAATGGTTTAGATGACAGATGAAAAAAACACATAGCAATTTCCCTAGTGCCCGTATTCTACTGCTGAAGATAAAGAATTAAGAGAATTTTTTCAGGTAAATCGGGCACCTAATACTACTCACAATATCCTTATGGTAGCTTTTATTTTATGTTATGACATGATTTTAATTGTATTTTAATGATTATACCTTGTTTTAAACATGCAGAGTTTCATTGCAGAACATATGTTTTGAGGTATGTTTGAACGCATTTAAACATTTAATATGATTTAAATTCTTCTGTGTGTTTTCCTACACAACATTTTTAATCTTGTACGATTGTGCTTCATTTTCTTCAGAAAAAGAAATTATTTTGTTTAGTTTTCTTTCTTCACCTAGTAATGAATCAGATTAAGAATTTCAATACATTAATATTCAGCGTAATTATGTTTCTAGATAACACTCTTCTCAACCATACTTAACACCTAACAAGATTCAAACTAAGCTATATTTTTACCATATCAACATTTAAAATTATTTGCCTCCAAAGAAATACAACAAGATAACTGCAGGAAATACATTTTAGTGAATGTCAGGTTAACAATTTTGAAAAATCAACATGTACACACACACACACACCCCTACATACACACAAATATTTGCCACAATATTATATAAATAGATGTAAGAAATTATAATAATCTTTCTAGAGTCATTAGTTGTAACATTGGTAAAAAACAATTTCAGCTATGAATTCATCTACAAGCCAGACCGAAAATATAAGTTTATAACACACAAAGAATTTCATAAAAAGTCACCGTACATTTGTTTTTGATTATGTATATCTGTGAATACTGGAAATTTTGTTGAGCATATCTAGAGAAAAGGGGATGTGCTTGTCCTCACAATCTGCATGAATAAAGAAATGTGGAATAATAAAAGCAATATATTTTTTTTCTCTGACAAATGGTAAGTGATATATTACAGGTCGGTCCTAAGAAGATTTTGGATGTATTTGAAGAGTTACTTTAATAGCTACCCTATCAAGTCTTCATTTGCCTTTTCAAATCCTGCTTATTTAAGGCTTTTCCTGCCTTCATTTATTGACCACACTTAATGTTACCTCTTACATACAGCAGGCTTGATATGAATCCATTTTGAGTCTTATTTCTTTTTTCTGCACTTGTTTTTGTGCATAACAGTGTATACTTTGGTAGAGAGTGTACTAGAATCTGTACTGGTTTTACTAGGCTCTACTTTAATTCCATCAATAATACCTATGTGATCTGGGCAAGTAGGGACATATTCTAGATTCTTAATTTCTTATTGTGTAAAATTTATAATGCTTTAAAAATGGCCCTTTTTAGCCTTCAAACACTGTGCGTTAGCCCCAAATAGGAGAGTCTTTATGGAAAATCCTGCTGTCTTGAAGAAAGTTTCTTTTTTCTTTTCTTTTCTTTTTTTTTGAGAAGGAGTCTCGCCCTGTCACTCAGGCTGGAGTGCAATGGAGCGATCTCGGCTCACTGCAACCTCCGCCTCCTGGGTTCAAGCGATTCTCCTGCCTCAGCCTCCTGAATAGCTGGGACTACAGGCATGCATCACCACACCCAGCTAATTTTCTGTATCTTTAGTATAGAGACGGGGTTTCACCATGGTGACCAGGCTGGTCTCGAACTCCTGACCTCATGAACCGCACTCCTCGGCCTTCCAAAGTGCTGGGATTACAGGGGTGAGCCACTGCGCCCAGCCAAAAGTTTCTATTTTTAATTTGTCAGGACTGATCTTTTAGAAGACCCTAATATCAAGCTTTAAGCCTTTGCTTCCTTAGGTTTTAATTTTTGTCCCATGTCACATACTTCTGAAAGCTACTTTATTCTAATTGAATAAATCAGTCTTTTTCTCAAGATGAATTCTGAAAGTACTAGAGTATATATGCATTTATGATTAGCCAACTTCTATAACAAAGTCAGTTTTTATTAATTGGAATAAAGTCAGTCATCCCCAGTTTCACAATGATCAAATGTGTGTTAGCCTAATGTATTCTACAGGTACATAAAGCATATTAATCGACAATGGATTATCATTTGGCCCACACTGAAATTTCTCTGGGTGAATATTCATGTGCCACAGGTTGAAGTTTCTCTACACACTAACTCTTACAATAAATGAAAGATATAATGTGCAATTTTACAAAACAGGAAGCTATTGTAATATTTTGTATAACTACTAATTAATATTTTGACACATTTTATTATTTATGTAAAAATAAATGCATTTATCTCAACAAATATTATTGATGAAGAAATCATACTTGGTAGAGATGTATTTCATACCAAAGTATTATTTTTCTTCAAATATTCATGGCAACTGTAAGCAATCGAATTAAGAAGCACAATATGTAGACAAATTGATCTCCCCAAGTTCCCCAAGCCGTTCTGCTCTGTTTGGCAACTTAATAGAAATGTGAGAGAAATAGACGTATGCCAGGAGGCTGGTGATTCTATATCTAAGGAGTTTGACTAACAGACATGAGAGAAAGGAAAGATGTAACTCCTCATCTAAAATAGTTCTCTCTAAGAACAAAATCACTGTCCACTACTATTAATAGCTCTTGAGTATTGCATATAAAACTTTTTTTTCCTGCTTAGAATGATAGGGCAGCAGCAACTCCTTTTATCAACCAGTATCTGATATTCAGGGAGACAGACTCTTGAGAAACAATCAGTAAAATCAGCAGTGTTTTCTTTGACTGCTATAACATTTTAAATTCAACATTTCAGTGAATTCTGCAGCAACCATTTGCAGTTTAAAAAATGGAAGGTCTAAAAAGCATTCAGAAATTTTATATAACAAAAAGTCCTTCAAGCTGAATTTTATGTCCAAATGAAGAATGAATTTCAGAAGCAAGAGTTTCAGCATTACACAATTTATCAAAAGTCTTCATCACTGTTATTAAAATTAGGGAATCCTCTAAAGTTAGACATAACCTAGGTATATTCCTGCTGATCAATACACCCGGAGCCATAGATTACAATTATTGTTGGACAATTTGTCCTTGTCTTTAAAGCAGCTAGTTATGTTCCATTAAAAACAATGCAGGTTGTTTTTTTTTACAGGGAACCTTCTCTGTGCATTACTGACACAAAGATTCAGACTAAGGAATGGTAAGCATTGCATAGATCTGGTTCTTAAAGTTGGCCAAAGGTATAAAACATTCCTCCGTAGTAATCACAAAAATAACAGTGAAAAGAAAAGAATGAGGACTTTGTAGAATCCAGATTCAAGACTTACTCTATATGTTGCTGTTATGATTATCCAGACTCACATGGATTCACAAGAGTGAACCAAAACCACAAGAAACTATTTACCACATTGAATACCACTTTACATCCTCATCTAAGGAAGATCATAGTTAAACATGATAGCTAAATACACACAAAAATATAATATTAAAGAAGGCTTTGCTATAATGTAATAATCTATATAATTTATACACCATGTAGGATATATACCTAGAGTTATAGATATTCTACCCTAATTATTTACCATGCTTATTTTTCTGATGTTTCAGAGGTCAAAAGAAAATGTAAAAAATGCATGAACACGAAGGTCATTATACTGAGGTTCTGTTAGGTGATAAAATGAAAGGAAATTCAAAGATGACAACCATGTAAAACATCTGGCATTCTGTCACCTGAACATTTTTATAACTAAACTGCTACATGTGCTTTTGTGGGACTGTGCCAGACGGACACCGCAATTATACACTGCACTGAATTACAGCTCTCAGAGGAGGAGATTTGCATGCCGCCACTTACATCATCTATGCACTCAGAATAAAAAAGGGCTACGGAAGGGAAAACAAACTAAATGTTGAAAAAGCCTAACTGGCTCAATCTCAATTCTTCTTGATCATGATTGCTTTACACTTTAATGGAAAATTACTAAACTGCCAATACATTCAGTTGTTGTTGTCGTTAATAATGTTGATTTCTATCTGAAAAGAACAACAGTTTGACTTCCCACACACTACCTTTTTCACAAATGGGATGACTTTTAATTCAGGCATGGAAGTAGCATGTAAATGTAAAGCTCATTCATAAAATTCTGAATATACCGATTCTCTTGGATTTATTAACATTAGCTGGATAAGTCGATGCCTTCATTACAATGGAGACACTAGTCCTACACACACAGTAGCTCACCTCCTGACTGGCAGTGTCCTGTTCCTCCATACTTGTCGGCATCATTTTCTCAGCAGCTATTGAATATCAACAACTGCTTCCAGGGGCAATGGGAACTTTTAAATATTCCTATTAAATATAAATTACACTGTTCGTTAACAAGCTAATTTGAAAATTTAACCTCTAACAGCATCTAGAAACAAACTAATGACTTGAATTTAATTATTAAATATACACATATATTTTAAAGAAACAGCAAAAGAAGACATTGTTATTTGCTTAAAGTCTATTTTGGATCTGACATTTAAAATATATTACCTAATTTCATCTTTACAAAAACATTTGAGGATGGTAGTATGTCCATGTTACATTGGGGAAACTCAGTAATGAGGAAGAAAATTGGAACAAGAGAGGAGGGAAGTCATTTTAAAAGAGGCAGAGCCAGAAGTGGAACTAAGCTCTGATTAGCAAGAATGTTCATGAACTTCCCATAATGCCAGACTGATACACATAATTAACAGCAGTAACATGCTCACTGAGATAAATTATTACTGTTAGAAATGAATTTTTTCATCTTCAGCTGATAACTGCATCACCCGATCCTGCATTAAGTCTGGAATTCAAAATTAAAATGGAACTATATAATCATGGTTTATAATCCAGAATGAACACAGAATAAATGAATTCCAGAAAATTTCTCCCTTAGTTATTTCAACTTTATTAAATATTTAAAGTGTTACTATATTGGTTTTGTTAATGCCTTTTTTTTTAGTTGAAAATCACAGGCTGTGATTTTTAAGGGTAGAATATAATAGTCAATATATCAATGTTCTTAGTAGAAAAAAATTGTAATGGTTATTTTTGCTTGCAAATTTATTTTGTAATGATTTGGTTTCCACTGTGCCATCTACTCCAGAAGTCTGAGAGTATTCAATGTTATTTAGTAAATCTAGATTTTAATGATTGCTAGGTTGAAAAAAAATGGAAAACAAAATGAGTCAGTGAGCTGACAGCCATATTTTATTCCAGTTACCCATACTTTGCTGCTTTTATGTATTTAGTAAGATGTGTCTAACATCCTTTCCCATAAATATATAACACACTCAAGTACCAATTAAAAATGAATGATATTCTGTGAAATACAGTCCATTTCCAAAGACTATAACTCATCTTAATGCAGAAATATCCATCTGGTCATTCCAATAAGCTTTGGATGTAAGTAAAGAAATCTGGACAGGATCTTCAACTTCATCAACTCTGGTAAGGTTCTTTAATCTTACCAACTCCCATGGAAAAGAAGTCTAGTAGACACTGTAATTCAATAGTATGCAGTTATAGCCTGGATGTTGCAAACTTTCCATTCAATACAATTTCTGTTCCTTACAGGGTGAATTATACTAGAGCTGGCACCTTCTCCCATTGGTTATCTTTTTAAGTTATCTACAGCTGGATGAGAGTAATTACAAAAACAATTTAAGTTTAAAATCTGCTTAAATAGCACTAAGAACACTCCATTATGTGATACCTAGAAGGATCAAGGTAAATCATGTGGAGCAGACAGTTGAGCTCTTTGTCCATTGAGCAAAATCTTACAGACTTTCTTGGTTGTCATATTTCAACATAAATTTTCTTTTCCAGGAAAAGTGCTGAAGAAAATAATCTGCTTTCTTTTTTCTTTTTTTTCTGTGGTAGGGTCTGGCTCTGACACCCAGGCTGTAGTGCAGTGGCATAATCACAGCTCACTGACCTCCTGAGCTCAAGCAATCCTCACACCTCAGCCTCCTGAGTAGCTGGGACTACAGGCACAGGTCATCGTGCTTGGCTAATTTTTATTTTTATTTTGTGGAGACAGAGGTCTCGCTTTGTTGCCTAGGCTGGTCTCCAACTCCTGGCTTCAAGTGATCCTCCTGCCTCTGCTTCCCAAAGTGCTAGTATTACAGGCAGAGTCACCGCACCTAGCCCATGCACCTATTCATTTGTAAGTTACAATTATCCCAAAATAAATAAAATATATTTTGAATGCATGTATTCATAATCCTGCTGAATGTACTTTACAATTATGATATATTTATAATTCTAACTTCACATTGCAAAACTACTAACAACAAAATGTCTCCATGGAATAAAACTTTTTCTTTTTTGAGACAGAGTCCTAGGCTGGAGTGTGATGGTAAGATCACAGCTCAGTGCAACCTCAAGCTCCTGGGCTCAAATGCTCCTTTCACCTCAGCCTCTCAAATATCTAGGAGTACACCACCACATCCAGGTAATTTTTTAATTATCTGTAGAGATGGCATCTCATTGTTTTGTCCAGTCTGGTCTCGAACTTCTGACCTCAAGTGATCCTCCTACCTAGGCCTCCAAAAGTGCTAGGATTACAGGCATGCACTACCATGATGGCCCAGACTTTTTATAAATTTAGTATTTGCAACAAAATAATAAAATGAAATAAAGGTAAAATATGTTAAAATATTTTTTAACTAAACAAGAAAACACCCTTCTTCTATCCTACAATTATTATGAAAGCAGGTTTAGGCCAAATAAACAATTAATTTTTTTGCAAGTTTGCTGCCATAAATCAACCATGCATGAATATCTGATATAAACAGTGTTTACCAAGTTAGTTGCTAAGACTGTAACAACTTAAAAATATATGTTTTTCTTTTTGCTGCTTGCTTTACTTTGAGAAAAAAATATTTGACATTTCTGCATTCGTTGAAGAAACTGTGACCATATTCATGTTTCTCTTCAATGCTTTCTTACAGTTGCCCATATATACTTTCAAATCAATTTCTCATTTGGAAAAAAGAATGAAAAGAAAAAAAAAACTTTTCTCGTACCAAAAAAAACAAAAAAAAATTACCATGATTTAGATGTGCCAAATAAGTGAAAGCACAGCTATTTAAATACTTAACAGGTATCACTAAAACATAAATATGTCTTTAATTATTTATATGATTACAAAATTGATGGATCATTGGTTGCACCAAGTAATCTACTATCCTTATATTACATTAAATCAATTCTGAAACCAAATATTATATTGCATAAGGCAGAGAAAAATGAAATTAATACAATTTCTAAGTGATTAAAGTAAAACTTGAAGATGAAAAATAAAGGAGTTCATGTTTATATTTCAAAAATTGGGCAAAAATATTAATCCAACTGTTTAATAAGTTAACAAAAAGCCTAAAGACTAGAAATAATGGATTCTGTTGTACTTGAAATTAGTTTGTTATATATGAAACAGTAGTGCGTACCAAATGGATACAGGCAAAATTAGAAGTACATTTTAAGTGCCATACAGTATAGTAAAAGCTATTTGATCCCATGACAAAGTAAGGTCCTGTGGGATGAAATGATTAGAGATAATTTTACAGGGGTGAAGAGATCTAAAGGGGCGGAATAATCACAGTGGAGAAACTGACTATACAAATTGAGTTAAGATCCATGAAGATTCACTTGTTACCTGGTACTCAAGAGCTAACTGTTCCCAATTTTAACCTGGCAATAAAAAGTTCAGAGCTTTCAGAGCACAGGATCTAATTTCATGGTATTCTGTTTTTGGAGTTCTAAATAAACCTCATCATCCAGATGTAATAGAAGAGAGATTTGAGATCCAACTCCCTGAGTTTGTCTTTGAATAGCCTTGAGTAAATCGAATTCAGAGATTTTGCCCTGCAGATATTCTGAAATTTGCTGGTAAAGCTAGAAGTTGTAAGATGGATGTTTGAATGGAAAGGTAGTGGGGTGGGAATGAAGGCTGATAAAGGTAAAATTAACTTTGTTAGTAACAAGCATCAAAATTAATTAACATCTCTCCTCAGCTTTGCTTCCTTAAACAACTGTCTCCTTGTCAAATCTAGATATATTATTTTTGACTCTGAACAAAGGACATCTTATCTCCATCAAATTGTATCTTAAAATAGGTTTCTGTTTCTTTGTGACTTCAGACAACCTGGGAGTACCATGGCAGATGTTGGCTGCTGTTGTTCTTAACGTTCATTCTGATTTCATGTAGAAGCCTGGGAAATCTTTATTGCTGTATTCTTTTTTGCCAATAACTTTCATTGATTTTAATTCCTTCTATGAATTTGTAATACAGCCAGGATATTTCTAAATGATTTTTTTTCTCCTTTCCTTCTTTCTGTAAACTCAAGGTCACGGCCTATAATAAAGAACTACGTAATAAACTGGGTCCATGCAGAAATAGCACTAGCTTGAAAAATGATTCTAATTTCATTATTCTTATTCCTAAATCTGAATGGCATTCAAAACATGCTCTGTGAAGGTTAAAAACTGAAAGTAAATGCAAAGTGAAGTTTCATATTCTGTATTCACACATTTTTGCTTTACTTTTTGGTTTAATGCCTATTTGTTTTTCAAGAGATGTAAAGCTCTAAAAGGGCAGGTATCATGCCTGCTTTATTCAACACTGTATACCAGGCATTTAGCGTCATGCTAATCTTTTTTGTAAGGAATCAATCTGTGCTGAATGACTGAAATCAGCCTAATTCCCAGAGATGAGAGTTACAGATTAATTTTCAGGAAATATGAGCCTTCATTTGCTTTCCAGCTTAAGGGAAAATAAAAACCATGAATGTAACAGTGACTTTTACTAGCATATTAAGTATTAGTATGCATCTTAAGGAAGCTAATTTAATACGGTAATTATATTTATAGAAGTGAGTACCTGCACTTGCCATTCTTTGCCTTGCCTCTGTCTGAACACCCATGCCTCATTAGGTAAACAAATTCTCCCACTGTCTGATGCTCACTGCCCATTTTCTCTTATTTATTATTTTTCCAATGTTCCATCTCAGCCTGAGTCATCTACCATATACTGGTCAGGCAAGTGCACAATTCCAGCTTACCGTGATGAGAAGATATTCTTTATAAGAATTATTTACGTGATAATTTGAGTCTCTCAGTTCAGTTTACTCAGGTTTATTTATTTAACAGCCTCAAAAGTCTTGAAAAAGAACAAATAAGAAACCCTACAAGTCATTTCCTTTCTCATTGTTCATTCTTGAACTTTGTCCTGGGCCTCATGATTTAAAAAATATTATTTGGGGCTGTGTGCGGTGGCTCACACCTGTTATCTCAGCACTTGGGAGGCCGAGGTGGGTGGATGGCCTGAGGTGAGGAGTTTGAGACTAACCTGGCCAACATGGTGAAACCCTGTCCCTACTAAAAATACAAAAATTAGCCAGGGATAATGGTGGGGCCCTGTAACCCCAGCTACTCAGGAGACTGAGGCATGAGAATTGCTTGAACCTGAGAGGCGGAGGTTGCAGTGAGCTAAGAATGTACCATTGCACTTCAGCCTGGGCAGCAAGAGTGAAAGTCCATCTCAAGAAAAAAAAAAAAAAGGTAAATACAAAATATTATTTGGTATATAAACTATTTTTTTCTTGCATTTGGTAGTCTAGGTTACAACTATGATAATGTATACTTTTATTGTCCAAAATTAGATACCTTAGAGAATGAAATGAAGTACTTGATTAGACAGGGAAATATGCATAAACCAGCACTATTCCAGGCAAAATTATAGTACAAATTATATTAATACATTAATGGAAAATTTGCTATAATCCAGTTTATAACTGTCTCTGTCTTCAAGAATTCCCAAATTTACTGTTTTCTGATTTTTTCTTCTATGACATAGCACATCCTGGATATTTATTTTACTTCACTGAAACAAACATTTGTCAGTTACATAATACATGTGAGAAAGCACGGTGGGAGAGATGTTATATCTTCGACATTTTTGCATATTGGGAGATACAAAGATAAATGAGACATAGTTCTCTACAAATAGCCATTTAAAATAGACAAGCGTGCATAAAACTATCATCAATATGAAATTGTGTTGAGTATAAACAGAAGAACAAAGTATTAAAAAAAGAGAGTTGATTTTTTTAATTAAAAAAAGCAAGAAAAGCATTTAAGGTGGACTTTGAAGAATGGTGAAGATTCTGATAGAATAAAATAGACATAAGTCACAATCTAATGAGAAAAATAGGACATTTAATTGTTTGAAATGACTATACTTGATAAAAGAACTATTATATTAAACCAAATGGGACTGTGAAGCGATCTTGAGATTAACAGCTACAGTAAGATTGGCAGCAACACAGCCTACTATTTTAGACTGGAGAAACTAGTAGGTTAGGCAGTGTTACTAGTGCCCAGGTGCCAACATTATCCAACAGAAGCTAGAAATTTGATAAGCCTTGCTCATGGAAGCCAGCACCTCAGAGATGATGAAGTGACTTTAGGAGGCAAAGACAGAAGGAGAGACATTCAGTCTTCTCCCTTTTCCCTGTTTGCCATTTCCCCCTCAGTGTCTTCCATTGGCCAAATTTATCAGGAAGCCAGTGATATGGAGCTCTGAAGAAGACAGCTTTCTCCAAACCCAAGTAGAACAAAGATAAAAGGCAAGGGAGGGGCCAGAGTACATAAGAACAAGGATTTTAGTAAAAATTGGAGGACACAGAAAAATAGCCAGCGCTTCCTCTAGAAAACATACTTAATAGTGCACATCCATTGTTAATCCGCTCTTCAATCCTTCTTTTTTGATTCCTGTATTTTTGATTCCTTTATCACTTTTCTTTGTGATGCTTTTGTTTTGAGAACTAGTCCTTGGGAAAGCTCTGTGTGTTCACCAAGAACATGAATCACAGTAATACCCCCTTGACCTTCGAGAATAGTAGATCATATGGCCCAGTACAGTCATCATTTATTCCTGACATGTTCATATGGAATTTCAAAATTGTTCTTTGTTTCACTTTAGACCAAAAGTTGTAAAGACTAGAGCTGCAGGCAGCTGGGTTCCCTGCCAGGAAAACATAGGAGCCCTGGAGACAAACGCTGCCCTCCTCACAAATCTCCATATTCCACCCTCTTCAACACACACACATAGTCATCCTATGCTATGTGTCATAAAATTACACACCGATTTAAGAGAATATGTTCATAGAAAAACCAAACATGGCATCAAGTCCCCAGACCCTATCATTGTGACCAAGTGTTCTACACTAAGACAATCAAAAGAAAAATTAGTAAACTGCCATTGTCAAAAATGCCTGGAAAGATAACACTGAAATTTTTAAGAAATTACTGAAGATAGATAAATATTATATTATTCATATATTACGTTATTCTGTCTAAATCCTGGAGTACTTAACACTAAATAAATTTAGCTTATAATATATGTCATTTATTTTGATCAGGTAATAAGGGAAACAGAAATTGATATACTATCACTATCATCAATAAGAGTGTAGTTGAGGATGTCAGGGGAAAGAAACAAGCCAAAGAAATATAAACACTAAGCATTAGAAGAGGGACTCAATCAGTAAATGTGGTAATCAAAGTTTGCAATTATGTGCCAGGCTCGGTCGCTCACTCCTGTAATACCAGCACTTTGGGAGGCTGAGGCAGGCAGATCACAAGGTCAGGAGATTGAGACCATCCTGGCCAACATGGTGAAACCTCGTCTCTACTAAAAATACAAAAATTAGCCAGGTGTGGTGGCGTGTGCCTGTAGTCCCAGCTCCTCGGGAGGCTGAGTCAGGAGAATTGCCTGAACCTGGGAGGTGGAGGGTGCAGTGAACTGAGATTGGGCCACTGCACTCCAACCTGGTGACAGAGCGAGACTCCATCTCAAAAAAAGAAAAGAAAGAAGAAAATTCTGTAGTATTTAAATCAGATTTAAGAAACAGTTTAATCCTAATGGCTACAACTAAAAATTGTGTTAATTATACTTTCTGATCCTTCCCCTCACCCACCAACCAAGGAATTGTGTAAAGAATTGATTACAGGGAGGTAATTTTGAAAATACAATTTTAAGCTCAATTTTAAATGTCTTAATGATTTGATCATTCCACAATGAATGTATGTATAGAAACATCACATTGTACTCCATAAATATGTACAATTATTATCTGTCAATTAGAAATAAAATAAAACTAGAAAACATAAAATAAATCAGACTTTACAAAGACAGTCTGTTGAAGAAAATGGTCTATGTCATATATGCAGAAACACTCTACAAATAAGATCTAAAGATAATAATCTTAATGATGGAGACACATTTCCAAAATTGAAGTACAATAGCAAAACAAAAGGCTAATAAGAGCACAATTATTGTTTTGCTTTTGTTTTTTACAAATATGTTTTATTTCATTAACATTTAAAATCTTTTAAAATACATAAAATAAAATGCACATATTTCACCTGTTGGTTTGGCAAATTTTAATAGTTGTATAACCTAAGGTAACCATGACTCAAAACAAGAGATAGGGCGTTTCCATATTCCCAGAGTTACATCTTGCTTCTTTCAGTCTATTTCTTCTCTATTCTCCAAGAGGCAAATAATTTCATATTCCTAAAATTATAGATTAATTTTGCCTGTTCTTAGATTTAATGTCCTTGAAATAACAATCTGGCTTTTTGTGTCTGGCTTCTTTTCCTTAACATACTATATTTGAAACTATTCATCTTGTAACATTAGTTCATACCTTTGAATATTTGAGTAATATTTCACTTATGACTAAAATAGGATGTGTTCATCATCCTGATGATGGAAATTAAAGTTGTTTTTAGTCTAATGCTATTAAAAATAAGTCTGTTATATCTACTATTTCCCAAGTTGTTTTAATCACTTTTTTTATTCCTGGTGTAAGTACTGATAAATTATTGGCTATATTCATGTTTATTTTTATTAGAAACTGCCAAACAGTTATCCAAATAGCTACATAATGAAATATACCCATCAGCAAATTATGAGTGTTTTGGCGGATCCATATTCTAGAAAATATTTCAAAATTCAGACAACTTAAAAATTGTCTATTCTTTTTATTTTTGCCATTCTAGTAGGAGATTAGTGGTATCTCATTGTGATTTTCATTTGTATTTTCTTGATGAACTAAATAACAAAATACCTTTTCATATATTTTTTGTTATTCATACAAGTTATTTGGTTAAGTGCCTGTTTAAATCTACCCAGCTTCAACTGAATTTTTTGTTCTTATTAAGTTTTAATAATTTTTTTAATAATTTTTTTTAAAACATCAATTTTAGGTTCAGGGATACAAGTGCAGGTTTCTCACATAGGTAAAGTCGTGTCACAGGGGTTTGTTGTACAGATTATTTTGTCACCCAGGTACTAAGCCTAATATCCAATAGTTGTTTTTTCTGATCCTCTCCCTCCTCCTCCAGTAGGCCCCATGTCCATTTTCCTGTCTGTGTCCATGTGTTCTCATCATTTAGTTCCCACTTATAGGTGAGAACATGCGGACTTTGTTTTTCTTGTTGTTGTTGTTCCTGCATTAGTTTGCTGGGGATAATGGCCTCCAGCTCCATTCATGTTCCCTCAAAGGACATTATCTCATTTTTCAAGGCTGCATAGCATTCCATGGAGTATATATGCCATATTTTCTTTATCCAGTCTGTCACTGATGGGCATTTAGCTTGGTGAAACGAACCAGACCCCAAACTTGCCCCATTGTTACCCTGACGCTTCTGAGCTCCCCTTCTTACTCACCAGGGGGATTGCTTTAAGCGTACTCGGGTGTCCTCCAGCTAGTTTTCCGCTCCAACCATCGCTCCGGCGACCCTTCGACCTGGATTCGAGCCCCCACAAAAGGGCGCCACTTGCCGAGACCAGCTCGGTTGGGGAGACTCTAACCCAGTGGCGCTAGAGGAATTAAAGACACACACACACACACACAGAGAAATATAGAGGTGCGAAGTGGGAAATCAGGTGTCTCACAGCCTTCAGAGCTGAGAGCCCGGAACAGAGATTTACCCACGTATTTATTAACACCAAGCCAGTCATTAGCATTGTTTCTATAGATATTAAATTAACTAAAAGTATCCCTTAAGGGAAACGAAGGGATGGGCCGAATTAATTGCAGCGGGAACGTGGCCTTAAGACACAGATCTCTCAGGCTTTTGTTTGTGGCTTAAGAATGCCTTTAAGAGGTTTTCCGCCCTGGGCGGGCCAGGTGTTCCTTGCCCTCATTCCCATAAACCCACAATCTTCCAGCTTGGGCGTTATGGCCATTATGGACATGTTACATTGCTGCAGAGATTTTATTTATGGCCAGTTTTGGGGCCAGTTTATGGCCAGATTTTGGGGGGCTTGCTCCCAACACATTTAGTTTGATTCTTCGTATTTTATGGATTAAAGGCTTTTAAAAGATGCATTTATGAAAACAAATTCAGTGTATAATTTTTCTATCCAATTTCATTTAGATGTCATTTAATGAGCAGAAAGTTTTTAACTCTAATAAAAATCTAATCAATTTTTTAGTGCTTTTTATGTTTTATCTAAGAAATGTTTGCCTAGCCAAAGGCTTCAAATATATTATCTTGCTTATTCTAAAAATATTCTCTAGTATTTACATTTAGCAGTATAATCTATCTCAAATTATTTTTTGTGTATAGAGCAGGATAGAGTATTTACTTTATACTTATTTATTATGTTACTAGAGACAGGCAATTTTTTCAGTACTAAATGTAAAAAGTACTTTATCTTCCTCATTAAGTTGACCTGACATTTTAGTCAAAAATTAGCTAACTATAAACCTTCAGATTTATTTTTGGAATCTATTCTGTTCATAGATCTTTGGTCTATTATTTCATGAATAATAAGTTTCCTTGGTTATTATAAATTATAGTAAATTTTTAACTTAAGTAAGACATCTTTTTGTTCCTTTTAAGGATTATTTGGGCTCTTTTAAATATTTACATTTTTATATAAATTTTAATACTAGCATATAAATTTCTTCAAAAGTCTGCTAGTATTTTTATTGAGATTGCATTGAAACCATAAATATTCCTGGGAAGAATGGATGACTTAAATTTGTTGAATCTTTCAAACCAAGTACATCCCATATACCATTGTGTAAGTCAGCATTATTTAGGTCTTCTTTAACTTCTCTAAGCAATATGTCGTGGTATTAATGCAGAGATCTTGAACACATTTTATTATATTTTTCATAGCAATTTGGTATGCTTTTAAAATTATTGCAAATGGTATTTGTTTTCACTTTCCATTTTATTTCTAAAATATAGTAATGGAAAAGATTGTGCATTCCGACTTTGTTTTCTGCCACCAGGCAATAATAATTTACTAATTCGCATTTGAAGATCTGAAATAATAATGTCTGTACACAAGCATGTCCTCTGTAAATGAAGAATCGAACTCCTTCCTTTCCAATCATTATGCCACAGGTCTGTTCTTTCCTGGAAGAGGGATATTATTTCCTGGAATTTAGTTCATTTAGATTTCTGTGTTTTTTTAAATGGATTTTTTTAACTTTGATTTTGTAGTTTATTTGGCTTGCTCTCAGGGTTTGGATCCAAGCAATATTTCATCTGGTGACTTTCTATTTCCTTATCAGAGTAAAATTCTCATGTACATTTTTGCTACAGCTGGGGAATTAATTTTTTAAATGAACAATTATAACATAAGATTAAGTATATCACAAATATCCTCACATCAGAAATAATGACAAAATATAACTTTTTGACTATTGATGATATTATCACTTTCAATGTTTATCAACATTAATTTAAAGGTCTAGTGATGTTTTAAATGCTGAACTTCTCCTCAGATAAACTTTATTTTCATGTTCTGCATTAAGAAAACAGTTAAAAGCAACACTTGAAGAATTCTGGCATGTATCAGAACACAGAGAGCTAGAAATTATCAATCTCACACTCACAATAATACTAAACAATATAAATTTTTAGGAAAATAAAAAAATACAAATAACAACAATAAAATGCTAATACACAATTATTAAAATGACTAAAACCAAAATAAAACTGACTATGCCAAGGACTTGCAAGGATGCAAAATACCTAAAACTCTCCTACTTTGCTGACGGGAGTGCAAAACTACACAGCCACTTTGGAAAGCAGTTTTGTAGTGTCTTGCAAAATTAATATACACTGAACACGTAACTCAGTAGTCCACTCCAGGATATTTGCTGGAGATGAAATGAAAATATATATTTACACACACAAATCTGTACTTAAATGTTTGCAGAAGCTTTATTTTATTTATTTATTTATTTTTTTGAGACGGAGTCTCACGCTGTCACCCAGGCTGGAGTGCAGTGGCACAATCTCGGCTCACTGCAAGCTCCGCCTACCGGGTTCACGCCATTCTCCTGCCTCAGCCTCCCGAGTAGCTGGGACTACAGGCACCCACCACCACGCCCAGCTAATTTTTTGTATTTTTAGTAGAGACGGGGTTTCACCGTGTTAGCCAGGATGGTCTCGATCTTTTGACCTCGTGATCCGTCCGCCTTGGCCTCCCAAAGTGCTGGGATTACAGGCGTGAGCCACCGCGCCCAGCCTACAAAAGCTTTATTGTTAATCATTCTGGAAACCCAAAAACCATATGTCATTCAACCACTGATTACATAAACTGATACATGCATACATTAGAATGACTCATAGCAATAAAAAGTAGTAAATTATTCGTACAAGCAGCAACATGCATTTTGCTAAGTGCAAGGAACAAAACCCAAAAGGCGATATATTATCTGATTATATTTGTCTGGCATTAAAAATGGCAAAACTATAGGGACTGAAAGTAGATCGGTGGTTGCCAGCGGTAAAAATAAGGGGCAGCATTTGACTACAAATGGAATGCACAGAAAAAATGTTAATGTAATGAAACTCTTTTTTATCATGCCTATATTGAAGGGCACATACTGTGCATTTGCCAAGCCAATAGAACTATACATCACAGTGTGAATTTTAATGAATATATTTTAATAATCAATAACAAAAACAATGTAAAAAAATAAGTAAAGCACTAGTGTAGGAGATTACAAACTCTCCAATCAGTTCCAGCAGCAAGAAGATGCACAAAGCATTGCTAGGAAGTGCCTCACATGATTTCTTAACCCAGTTTCCTAATTTACTGGGACACTTTCCTATCAAGAATTAAGCAACTTGCAGTCATTTAATATTATGTGGCAAATTTGAAAATTTCAGTGCCCTCAAATAAAACACAGCAAAACCACTTGCAAAGAAATTAGGTGGTTATGGGAAGAGATGTGAGTGTTGCCACTTCATGGTGGCTACTATTGTTCCTTAGCAACATGTAATTCCCTGATACTTTTAGTGATATCCTGCCATGATTCCTTAACATTCCTGTAGAATTAGTTAATTTAAATCAAATTGTTATAAATAAATAAAAAGTCTAAATGAAAAGAGTTCTTTATTACAAAGTTAAGCTGATGTAAAAAAACAAAGCCCAGCCACTTCCCTTTCTTTTCTTAATTACATCAGGGACAGAAGATATTAGGTAAGTGTCTTCATTCAAGACATTGCTCTTCATGAGGTCTTTTTCCAGTATTGTTTTGGTAAAATTCCGTAGTTTTTGAAAACCATTAGAGAGTAGAAAACTAAATGCAAGCACTTACAAACTGCAAGTTGTTTAAGCTATTTATGTCTTTCTCTTATGCATGAAATAAAGTGATTTAAACTTTGAATTTTAAAATTTTATTCAGTAGTACATAATTCCATAAGTCTTTTTCCTCTCTTCTTCTAATTCTCCTTTAAAACATACACAAATACGCATGGACACACACATATACCAATACTTGCCCTCAAACCCACTGCCAACTAAACAATATTTATATAATTTTTTATAATTTTACTCAGATGTTTTTCTAATGTTTTTGGTTTGCCGAAGTAGTTGATAAAGAAAATTTTATTAAGTACTGCCAGAAAACCACATTAGTTTAAAAAATAATTGATTATTTTATTTCTTAAAATAAAAGATATAGCATGAATAAGGCCTCATCAATTGGAGAAAAAAATGTTTTGCTGCCATGATTTAATCAAGTGTGTAATCTGGGGAAGAGGTAGTTTAATTACCACGATGTGGAAAATTTTTATAAACTTCTTGATCTTCATGGTTCTTGAATTACTCAGGTAAATAATGACAGTGAAGTGTTGAACTAAAATAAAATGAACACTTCAGAGTAAGTGCAAAATATTGATAATTAGCTTTGGGTGTCTTTGGGCCAAAAAAAAAAAAAAAACACCTAGACTCCTCATACTTGTACGTTACTAGGTAAAACTTGCCTCCAGTTAGAAAGGAGGAACAAATCAATATAAAAATAAATTTACAGAAATAAAATGTTAATCATTTTCTCTCTCTTTATTCCCTTTATATAATTTAATTCAAGAGTTTATTTTTCATGTAGCTTGTTCCAACATTGTTTTCAGATTCATCAAGTTTAGAATTTAACTTCAACATGTTCACTAGTGTAGAATTTATTGGTTACAATACACTTGCCACCCCACTACCCTTTTTTCCTTTTGCAGCCTCACTTACTTTAGGAATGAGTAATTTTTCAACAAGCACAATTTGTTCTAATTCAATTTATTTTGATTCATGAACATAATACTTGTTTCATTTTGATGCTATCCAGTCAATACACTTTCGTAACATAAGACATGATGCATAAAGGTGAAAAGCTATGATACACATGATTACAAAAAATGAAAGATCCTGTATAAAAAAACAGACTAAAAGGAATCATACTTTCTTTGGATTATCACGTGAAAAAGAAACCCATTAAACATGGGAGAAACATTATCAATTATTTCAACCCATGCACTTAATTTGTTTCTCCAAATAGAGTATATTTCCAACCTCCCTAGAGTTGTTTCTCTTAACAGAGTACATGATTTATAGCTACTATACTTATTTGTACCACTTTGCCAACTGGGGATGACTTATTTCTTCTGCAAGAAATAATGCTGACTGCATGGTTGTGCATATTTTAGATTCTTTCAAATCCTGGGCAAAATATCAGAAGTTGTAATCAGGATATAGCATTTTTAGAGCCTAATTTATTATCTTGTGCTTTATCTTCAGATATTTTTCATAAGATTTCCACCATAAGCTGCTCTTTGTCTTTAGAAAAAGTGAGTAATTTAGATGTCATTATATAGAATTTTTACCCCCAAAGGCAACTTTACCTCTGAAAACAGTTTTATAATAATTAAAACAATTCCTTACACTGTATGAGGCTTTAAATTTTATGTACACTTTAGCAAACATCTGTTTTGTTTCAGAGGTAAAACTAAACATCAAATGCTAACCTACTAATACTGAAGAAAGAAATGGAAATAGCACCTTGTGTCATTTATAAGAAATATTTCAGTAGCACAAATTAAATTATAAGTTAAATGCATTAAAACTTGATCAAAGGTGTTAGTTACTATGTGGTTTGCACTTTGAGATAAAAGCAAAAACATTGAAAATTCAAGTATATTCTTATTCTAATACTTTTCCGCAGAACATTCAAGAACTTAAATCAATACATGTTAATCTGTTATCAGAGTATAAACTAATTTTCAGTTTGTTTTTTAGTATGATGTTAAAGATACAGTATCATTGCTCCATAATTTTCTGCAATTCCTTTCTAATTGAAAGTGTGTCTCTCCTAATGTCCAGTGAGATATTTTTTCTTCCCATTCCATTCAGGTAATATTTTTTTCTTACAGCGTCTGGAGTAGTTTTGTCTATGGGTGTTATCTAGTTTTGGTTTAATGATTTTATCTTAAAGAGCATATGGCACAGTTGAAATAGGGGCTCATCCTGGTATGTCTGGAGTTGCATTTACCTATGTTACTCTGTCTAGGCTGTCATAATAAGCTTTCATTGACTGGATAGTTTATACAACAGAAATTTATTTTCTCACAGTTCTGGAGGATGGAAGTCCGTGGTCAAGGTGCCAGCGTTGTCAGATTTTGATGAGGACCCTATTCCTGGTTTGCAGACCTTCTTCTTGCTGTGTCCTCACATAGCAGAGAGAGAGAAAAAAAATAGAGAAAGAGAGAGGTAGAGAAGGACAGGAAGAGAGAGTGAAAGCTGGAATTCGTGTTCTCTGCTGTTTCTTCTTCTTCTTCTTTTTTTTTTTTTTGAGACAGAGTTTTGCTCTTGTTGCCCAGGCTGGAGTGCAATGGCACAATCTCGGCTCACTGCAACCTCTGCCTCCCGGGTTCAAGCGATTCTCCTGCCTCAGCTTCCTGGGTAGCTGGGATTACAGGCATGTGCCACCATGCCCGGCTGATTTGTTTGTATTTTCAGTAGAGATGGGGCTTCTCCATGTTGGTCCGGCTGGTCTTGAACTCCTGATCTTAGGTGATCCACCCACCTCGGCCTCCCAAAGGGCTGGGATTACAGGCGTGATCCACCGCGCCCAGCTGTTTCTTCTTGAAAAGACACTGATTCCATCATGATAATCCCACCTTCATGACCAGGTCTAATTCCAAGTATCTCGTAACAGCCTTTTCCCCAAATAAAATCACATTGCGGGTTAGGGCTCCAAAATAGGAATTTGAGAGGACACAATGAAATCCACAGCAGTGCCCTTAGGTTTCTCGCTATTGTTGCTCTTCCAGATTACTTGAAATTTTGCCTCATTGTCATCAAATAGAGTGCTTCTTTTAACTCTTCTCCTGCCTTGTGTTTAATACACTTCTGCTTATGTTAGAAGGTTCTATTTGGATTTAATGTTGTACTCTCTTGGTTTTGCTGTGTGCAAAGCAACTGGCTCTAGGAATCTAGGGCCAATTAAGAATGTAGATTACCATTTAATATTCATTTTCAAACATAAGAACTTTACTTGTTGTAGAACCGAATGATTACTATTCGATCTTATCATTCCCATCTATGTAAGACTTTCAGCATCATCTTTCAGCTTTATCTTTCGCTGGAATTTACACACTGATTTTTAAGACCATTTACCAATACTGACATTGGATTTTTTTATTAATATAGACAATATATTATCATGCCTCATTGTATATAAAAGTATAAAATGTGCAAAGGTCTAGTTTAGCCTTAATTATGTAAGGAAAATTATGATGAACAGATTTTACCTGAGCTAGCTTTTGAAGACTAGGTAATAATATAGAAAGGAAAGATTGGGGTCTGTGATGATTGGATTGAATGAAGTGTGCATACAAATATTTCACCCCTTGATAGTGATTTGAACAGATGAGTTAAAAAAACACTATAAGTTAATTATATATATTAATTTAGATGAAACAGTAAATGAAGTCGAACTAACAGACATTTTTCTTCAACATGCTTTTAGGAAGATACTCAATGAACTTGTTAAAAATACACATTTCCGGGATATTCTGATTTAGTATGGAATACGTTTTGGAAAATACTGAGCTAGGCAAAAAAAAAAAAAAAAAAAAAAAAGCCATATTGGTTTTTTGCTTAGGAGAATTGGCATAGTTCAAATTGCATAACGTATGGTCAACAAGCGTCATGATTCTCCCAGTACTTAACAAAGAAGCTGCCACACAGTAGGTGATTAATAACTAGTTGTCCTATAAATAAAACCTGCATAAATTATTTTCAAAATAATTAATCAGGAGGTTGCATAAAATATGTATTAGAATGGAGAAATACTGGAGTCAAAGAATAAAGCTATGATATACTAGAATTGTATAAGTAGATGCCAACTAAATTTAAGCTAAAGAAAAAAGAATCTATGTCACTGTTCCCAAGGATTTTTGACAGTCATTAGGTTTTGTATTATACATTGTACTGGACTTCAAAATGTCAACTGTGTATTTGTTATATTTTCCTAAAACAGTGTAAATAAAGAAGAGAAACCTTTAGAACAATCAGCATTTTATTTGTAGACTGTCAAACTTTCATTGTTTGAATGTCACGTTAAGATGTTAGCCTGAACACGTGGCTCACTATCACTAATGTAAACCGATCACCCATGTTCTTGCTATTTTCTCTATGTGCAGCAACCTTCATTTGTCCCTATTTCTAAGTAATCTTATCTATTCTTCAAGAATGAATTGAACTTTTGCACCATCAGTTTAACTGTGTATTTCTCTACAGAACTAAAACTGTTCTCCACTACAATGATAATAGTGCTTAGCAGTGCTAAAGAAAAAATAATCATGATACTTGTTAACACCTGGTAAGGTAAACTTTACTTAGTGGGGACTATTGTGATAAGTAGACAGGGAGACAGCTACTGTGAAGTTTTGTATTAGGAAAGAAATATCTGGCCCAACTTTGAACAGCAAGGAAAATGGCAAATTATAGCCAAGGAGCTGGGTGAGGGACCGTGGATGGAAAATTCATAGGAGAAAACATGAGGGGTAAATGGGGATTCTGGCTAAACAGACAACAGACTTCTTACTAAAGTCATGTCAGCATGGTCAGATATCACATGGGGAACGGTGGAGGATGAGAAACCTGATCAGATATGGAGGGTGATTGGATATGGGAGATGAGAAACTCGTGTTAAACTGATTTACATTGGACAATGCAGAGGTGAACATGAAAGCCGAAAAGTCATAGCCGACTTGAGAAGATAGTTCAGAGGAACCCAAGAAGAGTTTAGTCAAGGAGAGAATCTTTGTCACTAATTCTTTCAAGGTATTACATTATAGTTTGTAATTTAATTGTGTACATTGGTGCCATCTATATTATAGTCAAAATTGTCTTTTATCTTTTCTATGATCTTTAAATTGAGTATTTTGTATAAAATTGTTCTCAAATAATTTTCATTCAATAATGAATGATTAAAAAAGAAAAACATGATATTCTAATAACTCCTTAATTTTCTTTTATAGTTAAAAGGGGTGAAACCTTTGTGTTATAGATTGTTAATGTGACGTTGAGATTGATTTAAAGTTTATTTTTATACGTGTTTTTCTTTACTACTTTTATTTTCAATTTTTGTTTTCAATAATTTTACGTGAACTAAATAGTAGGTTAACTTTTTTATTATTACTTATCCTGGGGCATATATACATAGCAATTGACAATGTGTTTTTCAAGCAAAACACACTGCAACATTCTGAAATTCATTCTGAAGTTTTGAATGCAGGGTTTAAAGCACTGCTAGTTTTTTTATGTAAGTGGTAGCGTATGTGGTAGCAATTACTAATTAGATAATTGAATGCAGATGGCAGCAATTACAGTCAACCAAATTATGCAATATCTCCATAGGTAAAGTAATACCTTCAGTGCAGAAATGTCTGATATATATGTTCTCAATTTGATGAAGGGATTAATGAGAACATTTTATGCTATTGTTTGAGCCACTACCAATGAGCAATGCTTAGAAGCAATCTATAACTTTAATTGAGGTCATGGGTACAGTAGGTGAAAGCAACTATGAATTGGCTCATCCAATTTGCTGTGGCTCATTAAGACATCCATTGCTAGAGAATCATGTAGACAGGTCACAACAAATCATACCAAGTGAATTGTTCAGCCAGGTAGAATTCTACTGTTCAGACATGGCCTGGGGCCACATTTATGTATCGACATGAAAAATGCTCATGATATAGTATATACAGTGTAACCTAGTCATAGGTGGATTGTCAGAGGCTTCATGTTCTTTCCAGCAATAGTTCATTAAGATCTACATGCAGAAAATAATGGAGTCCATACTTACAATATGTTATGGTTTCTATGGAAGCCCATAGATCCACCATTATTATGCTGGTATGTGAAGAAAGCCTAGTTTTAGATCAGAAGCTGAAACAATCTGCTTGCCCCTCAGAAAATTACCTTTACAAACCATGTGGATATAAAAGCTTTATTGCTGACCCTCCGTGATAAAATTCTATCTTCAACAATGCAAGCTCAGTATTCTCAGAAATATTGCAAGTTTGGCTGAAGAGATGATTAATACATGTATTATGAGGCCATCTGAGCTCAAAGAGCACCTAGTGGGCTCCTCTATTTTCATCAGCTGTATGCAGCCCTATTATTTCAATCTTTATTATTGTCAAAATTAGAAGGTTAAAGACATTGTGAAGGCAATTTTCCCTAGGTCCTTGAAAGTCATTTTTAGAACTTTGGATTTTACTCTAAGTGACAAGGGAAGCCACCAGAACCTTCTGAGGAGAGTGAGATAACTATAAAGTAATCACCGTGGTCACCATGTCTCCAACACATTGAAGGAGAAGTTTGGAGTAAAAGATCAGTTAGTATGATATTGTAAGCATCCAGGCAAAACAAATTATGAAACGTGATTGAATTCTGGATTTGTTTTGAAGATAAAGCTAATAGAATATGCTACCCAACTGAATATGAGTTATGAGAAAAACAGAAAACCAAGGGGGTTTTGAGTTTTTAAGTTGCAAAGCTGAAAGCGTGGGCTTTCCATGAATGCAATATGCAGGACTGTGGAAGCAGCAGTCTTTGGGTGGTTATGTGCTTTGTTTGGCTTGGCTGTTTGTTAGTTTGTTTACTTTCTGGTGGGGGAAAAATTGTTAACTTTGGAAATGTTAAGTTTAAGCTGACTTTGGGATCTACCTCTAGAGAGAAATGTAAAGCAGGCAGTCTGATATTGCAGAAACGGGTTAACTAAAGTTTTCCTGTTTGGGAAAAGAATTTGACTTATGCTTTGCTCTCTACTTCTGTTTCCCTGAGAACCTGATGAGAATAATATGCTAGTGGTGTTACTAATGGCTGAGGTGGGAGGATCATGAGGTCAGGAGATCGAGACCATCCTGGCTAATATGGTGAAACCCCATCTGTACTAAAAATACAAAAAATTAGCTGGGCGTGGTGGCGGGCGCCCATAGTCCCAGCTACTCCGGAGGCCGAGGCAGGAGAATGGCATGAACCTGGGAGGCGGAGCTTGCAGTGAGCCGAGATCGTGCCACCGCACTCCAGCCTGGGCGACAGAGTGAGACTGTCTCAAAAAAAAAAAAAAAAAAGATGATACACTGAAAATTGAAACCAAAAGTATAACACTTCAAAATGTACTACAGTAGGGCACACAAAACAGATAAATGTACCAAACCAAAATCATGAGTTACATCACAGATTCTCTAACTGTTTTAACACCAACGAGTTTCAGCCCTGTATGTTGCAAGATGGGACTAAGAACAAATTGAACTAACAAAAACTCTGTGTGAACTCATATGTCCTAAAGACAAGACCGTGTTACAGTACAGCAACATCTTAGTTTGCAAAAATTGACAAATCCCTACTAAGACTATTTTAGACATCAAAATTCTATTAGCATCCTTTTTTTAACTCTTCCTTTTTGAGACATTCCACTGATTCTTAGGTGTATCCTTGTTGTAACAAATTCAATAAACTTAAAGTTTTTCTTTTTTTTTTTTTAACTGTAGGTGTTTCAATGATGGGTTTTGGAAAATAACACTGCTATGGCCTAAAAATCTATGATTGACAAACTGCCTTTTTACTGGGAAAACAATAACTAAGAGAAGCCACAGCGTTATGCTTCTCCAATGGCAATGAGTATGGTAATTAGGCATTCCCCTTATAAAGACCCTGGAAGCTATGCTTTTTGAATTGTTAGAAAAAATAATGTTCCTGTGGTATATGAGGTTTTTAGCACTGGGTGGATCTTGCATCCCCCTGAAAATGATTCTGTTTCCTTACCTCTGAGCTATACAAACTGCTACGAAAAATGCTACTGGGCTGTGAGCAGTGGCTCACACCTATAATCCCAGCACTTTGGGAGGCCGAGGCAGGTGGATCATGCGGTCAGGAGTTGAAGACCAGCCTGACCAATATGGTGAAACCCCGTGTCTACTAAAAATACAAAAATAAGCTGAGCATGGTGGCAGGTGCCTGTAATCTCAACTACTCGGGAGGCCTAGACAGGAGAATAGCTTGAACCTGGGTGGCAGAGGTTGCAGTGAGCTGAGATCACACCACTGCACTCCAGCCTGGGTGACAGAGTGAGACTCTGTCTCAAAAAAAAAAAAAAAATGCTACTAGGACATCTGCAGATAAGGAAGAAGTAAGGATCCTGACAGCAAGCTATGGTAACTGTGTTACATCGTTTTGTGTAGGCTGATGTCAACTGAAGGCTAAGATGGTCTTATGAGTCTGAAAGTTTAGCTGAACTTAGGCAGGCTCTTGGTGAGCTTTCCAACTAGGCAGCATGGAATTCATAAGGAAACTCTTTGTTGTTAATGAAAATGTGGACAATATCAGTGGTATTCAAAGTCAGGAAAATAGATGAGATTTAAGATTGAAAGCAAATACATAAGTAAAGAAATCCATGAACTGAGGCTTGGGGCATTCCAAATCTAACAGTTTAAATAGATGAGAAGAACCAAGAAAAGATGATTGGGAAGAAATCACCAAAAGTAAGGAGCAGTAATTCTACATACGAGCAGCCAAATAAATAGTGTTTTTAGATAAACAGTAATCAATTTTGTCAAATGCTTCTGATGAATCAAGTCAGGTGAGAATTGAGAACTGCATATTCAGTTAAGTAAAAAAAGGCATGTCTATTGACCTTAACATGAGCACTTTCAGTGAACTCATAGGGTAAATACATTATTGGAGAAATTTCAAGAGGAAATAGGCAGTGAGGAATTAAAATTTAAAATGCAGACACTGCTTTTTGTAAAGAGAAAGAGAAATTGAGGTTTATTGGAGAATGAAGCAAGAATGAAAGAATTTTTATAATAGCAGGTTTTTTTTTTTTTCAAGTAGGACATAAAAGAGCTTATATGTGTGCAAGCTTGATGTTCTACTAGAGAGGAAAAACAATGCTGAAGCATGAGGGAGAGGGGAAAATGAATGTTTTGGGTAGATGAGAAGGGGATGGGCACAAATGCAGGGATTGGCCTTAGGATAAAACAAGATGTATTTATAGTTATATCTACTCAGAAATGCTTGAGGAAAAGGTTGAGTTATTCACTCATTTTAATTTCAACACACTGAGTTTCTGTTTATTTGTGCATTTAACAAATATTTATTCACCATGTTTCAGGCATTAGGAACTGTTTTAATTGCTGGGGCATAGCAGTAAACAAAACAGATCAAAAGCAGCCCTGCCTTCATGGGGTTTGCCTTTTAACAAAACTATTAAATTTGAAATAACACATTGCAGAATAAAAACATTTCCTACAATTTTCATCCAACATGTCACAAAAAATCCACTTCAGTGTTGCCTTGGTTATCTTTGTTGAAATTTCACTCTAAGTATTTGCTTGCAAAAGAAGCATGAAAGGAACAATTTGGGTAATGTTTCTTTTAAAAGAACTCCTTATTCAGCTGACAGAAATGGTTGTGTCTGGCAACCTCTGTTTGCAAAGAACTGATGAGACTGTGTCAGCAGAGGTTTGAGAAGGAACAGTGAACACTTCCTGATCTAGTGTTAAGTTTTCCTGAGAATGGCAAGGCAAAATCAATATAGAGCCTCTATAGGTTTCACATCCTATGGAAAAAAATAACTTGGCCAATGCTGTACTCAGTTACATCTTTTCAACATGAAAATCCATTGCAATGACTAGATATAGCTTCTAACTAATCCTTTGTATCAAAGCCAATTCAACATCTGTTATTTTGAATGTGGTCAAGACAACCTTATGTAAAACTACCATTTGAGGCAACAGCCACAATTTTCCACACGAAGATTTTGTTCGTTGTTTGTGCATGGCTTGTACTTCTAAATTACCTCAGGGATCTAAGTAAGCATTTAATTCCAGAGAAACACAGGCTAAAGCTATTTGTTGAGACATTTTTGTGTATAGGAAAAGAAAAAAAAGACTTCTTTCTTCCCACAAAAGTAGAGCATTTTTTTCTGAACCTTCCATTCCATCTTGGATCATCTTCATTATTCTTTATTTTGAGTTTTTGCTACCCTTATCTAATTTCTTAATGTGTCTGTGCACTAACTCATATTGCCTGTGATTCTGTAGTTCCCATGGTTAGGTGACAAATAACTTCTTAGACAGGCTCCATTAAAAAACTATTGAATCAGAGTTTCTTAGAAGTGGGGTTTAAACAATTTTGATAATTAGAATGCTCATTAAAGTTTAAAAACCAGGACCCTTGTTTCTGTAGTTGGTCCCATTGCTTGAGGAATGCTGTCAGCTAAGAGATAGCAACGGCACTTCTTTTAAGTGATTTTTGCCCTTATTTTGAGGGATGCAGTTATTATGAAATGTTTTTGTCGTGATGGTTATTGTTGTATGTTTTGTTTTAATCCCTAAAACTGCCATTCTCAACTGGAAGGGGATGGATTTTGCCATTCATGGAACATTTGGCAATCCATGTCTAGAGTCATTTCTGGTTGTCGTGAGAGGGTGAGTGCTAGTCCTTCTAGTCTGTAGAGGTCAGAGATGCTTCTAAACATCCTGCAATGCATAGGACAAGATGCCACAAAAAAGAATCACCTGGACAAAAATGCCAACATGACTGAGGGTGAGAAACCCTCCCCTAGGGCAACTGACTATAATTGATACAAACTTCAATATGTTTCATTGTCTACACAACTCAAAGCTCATAAAACCGTGGAAATTCTGGAGGGAATGAGGCAGATCACTTTTAGTATGTTGATCTTCCCCTCACTTCATGCAGCTTCACATACGGGACAGTTACAGTTCCTATAGAACGTAAGGGAGAGTGAAACATGATTCTAAAGGATGTAACAGATCAAAACTTGAATGCCAGAATAGCAGATGGCCATATAAACTTGAGACATTCTTTTGTTTACTCTGGACATTGAAGACACAATTAAGGGCAGAATTTTGTGTTCGTGATAACTAAAAAATAATCTTGTGATTAAAAAGTAATGATTACAGCAAAGTAACAAATGAATCTGAACATTTTTCCACTTGACCAGACGATTAAAACAAGAATGCTTGTCAATTTGTGTGAAGTTTCATCCTTTATGTGTCAGAGTTTTTGATAATTAACAATGGGCCTCAGTGCCATCTGGGATTTTTTCAGTAAAACTACCATAGAGTAAAGCACAGTAAAAAAGAACAGTGCTTTAGGTCATAAAAATGCGCTAGCACAGCCTTATCAATCAATAATAAATTCACATTCTGGAAAGCGTACTCAGAAGGGCAATTCCAGAGCTATAGAGGATCTTGTCCTCATGGTACAGGAATTGTCTGCTATAAAAAAATAAACAAAAGCAATAATGAAGACACAGTAGAAATTGAGTAAACACCAAAATACTTTAATTGCCTGTTTTGAATATGGAATCACTGTATTATCAAATAGCCCTTACATTAAGTGCTAGAATAGTTTTCAATTTGACAGTAACTGAAAAGGTAAAACAGAAGAAAACAAAACCTTAGGTACTGGATGTCTTTTCCAGATTATTCTTACTCAAACATGTAATTTTGTGATTACAATAGGAAAGATTGTCTTGAAGAATAATTTGCCCAAAAAAAACCTCAGAAAATGATAGCACAATAAAAGTTTATCCCTTCCTTATATCCTGTTAATTTTCAGTTACTCATAAATATGACAATTACCTGTTGAATGGCCACAATGTGCCAGGTTCTGTATGTCTGCTTGGTAAACAGGGTAGAAAATATATAACATATTTTTTCATAGAAACTAAATTTCATTGAGTGAGGAAAATATTTTGATATTTCATCTAAGTTTCAATGGGTGAGAAACACATTTTGACTAAAGAAACATCAAAGGCTGATTATGGATGACTGTTACGTATATCAGAGGATTTCTCTGAGGAGATGATATTTGATAAGGTGCTTTATTTTCCACACATATGCACAAATACAGTGAACAATTTACCTATTGAAAAATAATGTTTCCAAAGACTGTATAATATTCTCTCATGTTAATATTGAACAAATATAACAGTGTCAAATTTTAATAAATAGGCTTATTCAAAAAAATCAATGGATCAAATTGAATAGTTTGACACAAGTTTTGAACTTGCTTTAGAAAATTTTTTGGTTTTTAAATTCCTCAAAAAGTCCCAAATCTCAAAATTAACACAAATATGTGCATCTTCCATATTCATGTTATGTGTGTGTATGTATGTGTGTCTGTAGATGGACATTTACAAGTATTGTTTAGTTATTTGTGAATTCAACTACTTTACATGTTTATTCAGAATTTGTATGTTATAGAGCTAAATGTATTTATATCAACTGCTTATATTTCTTGATTTTTTTAAACTATATAATGCAATAAGAGTATTAAAATATAGTTGCCTATATTGGAACTCTTTCTTATAACCTGTTTAACTATGTACAAAATATTGTAATTACTTTGCAGTCATTTGAACTACTTAATTTTATCGTGACATTTTTCATACCTGAAAGAATTACTTAGCATTACTTATTACCAATCATGATAACAATTGAGAGTTCAAATGAAAATTAGAGTTTTGTGAAATTTGTATCTGAAACTGTGAACTTGATAGTTTCCTAACAGTTCAAAAAATTTCCAGTGAGATCAATTGTTATGAATTAATGTGAGTTTTTGATATTGTATAACGGGATATCTCAACAGTTGAAAGATCTCATTAAATAACTTATTGTATTATTATTTTCTAAGTGCTTATTGCATAACATTATAGAACCATGCATGGAATGTCATTAACATTGTGCCATGCTCCAAATTGCAACTCAGCTTTGAAAAACTGCAGCTTGAATTTTGGTATAGGATCAAAGCAGAATATCCAAAATTATATGAAGAGACCACTAAAATATTCTTCCTTTTTGAACTACATATTTTGAGACTAGATATTTCTCATATAGTTTAATCAAGACATTATATAACAACAGACTGATGTAGTAGCTGATGTTACAAGGATCCAACTCTCATCTAATAAGCTGGATAAAAAATATTTGCAAAAATGTGAAACAATGGCCCTCATATCATTAAGTTCTTTTGGGAAGTATAATTATTTTTCATGAACCCATTATTTGTGGTAACATGTAATAACTTTGCTATCATTATTTTAATTATCTAATAAATATTTTTTAAATTTCTTAATTTTAATTTCTAATACAAGGAACATACCTATATCTACATCTATAGGTATATGCCTATAACTATATCATCCACTTAAACACAAACTCTTTTGTGTTCTTGAAGGTTTTTAAGATGGTGAAGAGCTTCTAGGTTAAAAAGTTTGAAAATTACTGTATTAAAAGTATCTGTTGGGAACTATATAATATTCATAAAAGGCTTTTTGGCAAGCTACTGGATCCTGGTAGGATGGAGCATCTCACCATAGGTTATATTATAGCCACATAGACCGAACTGCCTAATATGCGTGAATTTAGGAAGTTGAGTGGGTTCACATAAATCTATTGGAAGATGCATATATCTATGAGATCAAGCATAATTCAGGACAAATAACACATATAAGCTGTGTAGGTTAAAACCCTAACCACTGACTGGGTGCAGCGGCTCATGCCTGTAATCCCAACACTTTGGAAGGCTGAATTGGGCAGATCACAAGGTCAGGAGATCAAGACCATCCTGGCTAACACGGTGAAACCCGGTCTCTACTAAAAATACAAAAAAATTAGTTGGGTGTGGTGGTGAGCACCTGTAGTCCCAGCTTCTCGGGAGGCTGAGGCAGGAGAATCACTAGAACCATGGAGGCAGAGGTTGCAGTGAGCCGTGATTGTACCACTGCACTCCAGCCTGGGCGACAGAGTGAGATTCCACCAGAAAACACACACACACACACACACACACACACACACACACACACACAAAACACCTAACCACCACATCACCACTTTTGCATTGATGCCTCTCTTTCAGTTCATACATATGATCAGATGGATGGGTCTCTTATGTCCAGTTGACAGAAGAAATAAACTGATAGGCTTGATTCTCAAATGAGTCAGATACTTATGTGTATAAAGGCTAAAAACTGACTTTAATTAAACTGTAGCCCTACTTTAGGTTTGCTCTGCAGTTAAAGAAAACCCTCTTCTTGGGCCAGACTTCAACAGTTGCACATGATCATCTACTGTGTGTGGAAAGGGAAGTGGCCTAGTTAAAAATACATATAGATTCATGAGGGATGGCAAACAATTCGGCGAGCTGGTTAGAGGCCATAAAAAAAGAAAGATTTGAGGTCTGGGGAAGAAGCTTGTAAATGTAGCTACGGGAGTAAGCATAAGGTGTGAAGATCCTGTACTGCATGTTAATATTTATCAAAGATCATCCACCCTGCATAAGGCATCAGACAATCAAGTAGTAATACCTATTTTATTTTATTTTTTTGAGATGAAGTCTCACTGTGTTGCCCAGGCTGGAGTGCAGTGATATGATCTCAGCTCACTGAAACCTCCGTCTCCCAGGTTCAAGTGACTGTCCTGCCTCAGCCTCCTGAGTAGCTGGGATTACAGGCATGTGCCGACACACCCAACTAATTTTTGTAATCTTAGTAGAGATGGGGTTTCACCATGTTAGTCACGCTGGTCTTGAACCCCTGACCTCAGGTGATCTGCCTGCCTCAACCTCCCAAAGTGCTGAGATTAGAGGCACAACCCACCGCGCCTGGCCCATACTTTTTAAAAATATTTTTGTTCTTTTATTTTTTGACATTAGCCATTTTCATCAGCCATCTCCATTCAGGTACGGTGAGCATGAACAAAGGAGTCACGTAGGCTCAGAGGAAGGCTAGGCAGGGGCAGGCCATTAAGTAGTCTATTCACCATGGCCTAACTACTGTAGTTGCTGAATGTACCAGTGTCAGTAATAGAGACCAACACTGAGTCCTTGATCAGGTATCATTTTTTGGAAGACATCCAGTAGTTGGTGGAAAGTTTATTATATTAAACCACTTCTACCATGGAAGATGTGGATATTCATCTTGACTGGAATTTGCATGCATTGTGGTTATGGGTGTGTCTTCTCAGCCAGCACTACTAATCCAAGGAATACAGTATTTGAACTCCTGACAAATACACTATATCACAATATTTCAGGATAAGGGATTATATCTATCAACGAAGATGGAGCAATGGGCTCATAACCATGACATTTACAACCCAGAAGTTGCCAGCCTAATATAGCAATTGAATAGACTTTGAAGGCACAGCTAAGGTGGCGGCTGGAAAAGAGTCCCTTCCAAGATGCACTACTGTATTAGTTTGTTCTCATGATGCTATGAAGACATACCCAAGGCTGGATAATTTGTAAAGAAAAAAGGTTTAATTGACTCAATGCCACATGGCTGGGAAGGCCTCAGGAAACTTACAATCACGGCAGAAGGCAAAGGGGAAAAAAGGCACCTTCTTCACAGGACGGCAGGCAGGATAAGTGCTGATCAAAGGGGGGAAAGCCCCTTATAAAATCATCAGATCTCATGAGAACAATATTAAATAAATTTATGATACTCAGAGAACACTGATATAAAAACATTTCACAAGTAGACCTTTCTTTAGATGCCAGTATATGCCCGCTTCTACTGGTGGAGTTTTAACCTGAAAATCAATCTACTTTCCAAACCTTGTGATTCTTATAGTAATTGGATGTTTTAGATAAATGATAGGGTTGAATGTCATGGAAAAATGAAGGTAGGAAATAACACTCAGTGGACATATAATCAAAGGAATGGTCTTGACCATATGTCAAAAGAATGAAAGAATGTACACATGTGTTTCAAATTTAAGTAAAGTTTCAGGTATCTATTAATTGCTTATGATTTTCTTCTTTAAAAAATGTATTTAACTAACTAAATTTTTAGATTAGCTAAACATATATTGAGGGGAGAGATAAGAGGGCTTTTTAAAGTGTTTTAATTTTATACTAATGTAATAGGACAGTGAATGCGATTTTAGTTTTGTGACTTTTGTAGAAGCTCCAAATTGAAGAAAATTGATAAGAAACATCACTTTATTAAAAGCTGCTAGAACAACACATGCCAAATTTTCTAAATGATGGTTGCACTACCCCGCATCACCCACTTCCAACTCACAAAAGACCAGGACTTCAAAAAGAGAATTAGGGTCATCAAAATACAGAGCTTTCCACTAAGTGGGATATGCTTTCATGAAGTAGGGACTGGGGATGAGAAGCACCCATAGAGAATGAGGACAAAAAAAGGGTCATTGTCATCTCACCTCTAGGTTTGATGCTTTCTACTCTGCAGAGTTCTATCAGCCCACTGTAGTATATTCAAAGGGTTCACAGGAGGACCTGACATTTGCCTCCTAGAGCAGTGCTACCCAAAAGGTGGTCCCTGAACTGCTTAAATAGTAGAGACGTTGAATATAAACATTGGCAATTTGAGAATGTCTGTTGTGTCTAATTATATTAAAGACTAAGGATTATATTGATACTTTTTTATGTTTCCTTTCATTTTTCTAGTAATTTATTTTCATCGCATTTTACATAAATATGGTTTGTGATCCTTGAAATTTAATAAAAGAGAAAAAATATGGTTATTTCCTCCATGTAGAATTTGAGAAACACTGACCTGGTGTGTAGGGGGCAGCTGATGCCTGCCTTTCCTCTGTAATGCTGGAGACTGGCTGGAGCCAAAAGCAAAGCAAAAAGAGAAGGCAGCAGATGAATAGATAGCCTTTGGGTTTTTCCTGGGGCAAGCAGAAGTAGTAGGAGTAAAGCCATAAAGGTGTCCTGACAAACAGGATGATGGCCTGTCAGGTGAGAGGACCCTAGTACCAAACCCTGTGGAGGCCACTGCAACAAAAGCTTTGGAGGGAGTTGGTCACAAAGGGACAGCTACAGAGGATGTCACTGTTTTCAGAGGACTGTGCAGTGCACAGATAATGATTTCAAACAAAAGGTGCTTAAATTTGAATCTCTTCATAAATAATGTTTGCTTGGGTGACCACAAACATTTTCTAGATGATTGTTTCTTTGATTTCCATGTGCAAAACATTGTTTAGACAGAAAAATGCTAAAAAAAAAAAAGCACCAGGTTCTTAAAGTATTTGTAGCATATTTCCTAGTAAATGTTTAATTATTATGCAAATATGTGTAGAATTCACTTGTGCAAGGCAAAATATTATTAGGGAAATTCACAGAGAGTATTTCCTATGTAGTTGATATATGAGAGGGATAAATAGATGTCATATACCAAATTACAAGACAAAACATTTATGATATTTGGAATTCTGTATTGTATTCTCTCTTCCCTCATATTGTCTCATAACTTTAAAGTTATTTAAATTCAGCATAGAAATAATATAGGAATCAGATTTATTGCAGTGAACATGAGTTTGAGAATGTGGCTTGGACATGTATTCTACTACTTTACACAAAGTCTAGATCACACAAACTACCTGAAAAGAGAGAGGGGCTTGAAATGAAGGAGAGAAAATAATGTGGACGACTCACAGGTTTTTGGCTTGTTAGCTCTCCAGAGACCTGGCAAAATTTTGAGATTTTGTTTTAATACAAGCAGAATATTAATATAGTAAACTATGTATATTTAAGAGTTTAGAGCATAGCCTCTTTGATTAGAAGCCAAGTCAATATTTTTTAAACTTCTTTAGAGTTATATTATAATTCTGTCTTCCAAGTTAATTGATACAATGCCCAGATTGAGTTTAAATGATACCCATGCTCTCTTTTAAACTGTGCACTTCTGAGGGAATTAATTGGAAAATATATTGATGCCTTTTTCTAATCTAATTGATCTCAAGATTCCAAGGCTTGAACAATAATTTCTAGTGCTGTAAACCAATTATTTCTCAAAAAGTTTTGGTGACACAATTCTGCAAGGATTAACTATACTTTACCATGAAATAACATTCATAACACATATTTCCAAACCATCAACTCATCACTGCCAAGTTAAAAAAATTAATAAAAATAAGCAGGTGGTGTACTCAGACACTATGAAAAATAGCAACAAGAGAATAAACTATGCAAATCATTACTGGCTGCATGGTCTTTCAAGGGTGTTTTTATATTTTGGCATTCTGATATGTAAATTTATAGATAACAGAGAAAAAACCTGAATGTCTGTGAGACACACACTTTTGAGGCATTTAGTGTATAAATTATAAGTGTTATGTGTGTATATATACATACATATATTTTTCTTTTCTGAGGCACAGTCTCGGTCTGTGGCCCAGGCTGGAGTGCAGTGGCACCATCTCGGCTCAGTGCAACCTCCACCTCCTGGGTTCAAGTGATTCTCCTGTCTCAGCCTCCTGAGTAGCCGGGATTACATGCCTGGCTAATTTTTCCTATCTTTAGTAGAGATGGGGTTTTGCCATGTTGGCCAGCCCAGTCTCAAACTCCTGACCACAGTTGATCCACCCACCTCGGCCTCCCAAAGTGCTGGGATTACAGGTGTGAGCCACCATGCCCAGCTAGCTTATATTTTATTTATTAGTCAGCCATTGATATCTAAATCTGGTCTAGTCAGTTTTAAAACAGATTTAGACCAGACCAGATTCCAAGTGAGTCCCTTGGAATCTCACTTATTATTTGTAAAATGAGTTTAAAGTACTAGAGAAATTATTTCAAGTTACCTTTCCTCAATCATTTCTATGATTACTAAGTAGAGAGAAAGAGAAAATTCTGGAAGTTAGGGCTCTAGGATTTCTCCTTTGTGAGAACTGCAGCAGGTGTACATTTACCTGTTACATATATTTATAGGTCTTGGAGGTAAGATTCCTTTGAAAGATAGTTCTGACTATAAAACGTGCATAAAAATTTATGGATTAGTACTTAATGAAATCATTTTACTATCCTAAATAGGATTCCAGACTGAAAAGCATAAGACTGATATTATTACATCATTTTATTCTATGTTGGTTTAATTGCATGAAATTACAGTTTATGTAGGTCAAAGGTGGTAGACTTATATGATTCTAGTGTACAATAGCAATACTTTTACAACAGTTAAGTTTTACCCTCCCAACTTCAAAAGACGTCAGTCCTTATTCTGCTTTAATATAAATAAATGGATAAAATAAATGTTTGAAAGTTTTTATCAACTAAGGCTTATTTCTATCATGTTTGTGTTGACCTTAGTAAATGATAAGAAAGAAATGTGAAGGGGAGGAATGTAAATATTTTCTAGAATATCTTATTGAAGTCAGAAATGGTATGTAATATTGTTTTGTAAAAAATAATATAATGATAATTTTGAACTTTATTTATCCACAGAGGTAGTTGATAGGCCTTGATGACATTAGAAAATGTTATAGCAGAAAATGTGCAGGATTTTGAATGAACCATTTATAAAAGACATTTGTCATAATATTGGCCACAAAATTCTCTTCCATGCTTCTTTCTTAAATTCAACTTACTGAATTGGACCTAGATGTAGAAGAGAATATTAATCAATAAATATTCTTAATTCAGTTTGGAAAACTACCAAATTGTCATTATTGACATCTTTAATGAGATTTCCTGGATAAAATCTGGCACATCCCTGGAAGGAATAGGCAGCCTATGACAAAACATCTAGCAGCAGGAATCACACTAAAAATTACAACAGAAATCATAAATAGGAACTGAATAGGTGGACATGAAAAATAGTGATGTAAAAAAGGATATGGGACAGGCCATTATCACAGAAACTGAGAAGATAATTCTCAGTGAATAGGTCAGGTAGGAAGGAGCCCGTTAACAGTCAAAGAACATTATGCCTTCTGACATTGCTGTTGTCTATATTAGCATGTTTTTCCTGTGTGATGGGACATTATTTCTAGGAAAAACATTTTTGCCTTCTTCCCAAGCCATAGCTATAATTCACTTTCATATTAAGGTGAGCTATTCATGAAAAATTACCACTTGGAGTTAAATATTTTTCTGTCCAGGACAAAGCTAATAGAAAAGTAAAATTGAATGATATTTGCAATAGTGATGAAATAAATGAGATTCTGTTGTCCTTTATCATGCTACTTGTGAAGGTACAGCCCAAGCCTTTTCTCACTCATAGATGGGAATTGAACAATGAGAACACATGGACACAGGAAGGGGAACATCACACACCAAGGCCTGTTGTTGGGGGGTGGGAAGGGATAGCATTTGGAGATATACCTAACGTTAAATGGGTTGACGAGTTGATGGGTGCAGCACACCAACATGGCACATGTATACATATGTAACTAACCTGCATGTTGTGCTCATGTACCCTAAAACTTAAAGTATATATATAAAAAAAAAGAACATGTTCTTTGTCTCTAGATCCCAGTTCAGTAGTTCAGTAAATCTCTGAGATTCTTTATTCTTCCTTACTCTGGCAGAGACACCTCCTACTTTTACCTGCTGCCCTCCCACGTCCTCTGTAATGCTTGCTGCTAAGTGCTCACACTCCTACTGCTGTAGCACACAGCAGGCCTGTATTAATACTGGCCACTCCACATCCACCAAAGTAAGAAGGCTGTTCTCACATCAAGGATTAAAAGAATTTAATAATGTTCCCCTAAAGCTAGCCTGAATCTTTGCTTACAATGATCATTTTTGTTGTCATTTTGGACCTGCAGTAAATTCCACACTAGGATGTTTAATGGCATACAGTATCATTTCTGTCACCATAGGCCTATGGCCTTACAACAGAGCACAAGACCTAATATTGTCTGGACCCTGGCTATTTCTCTGACCTCATTTTCTACCTCTCTCATCTCTGTTCTTTTTCTTCAAGCTACAGCTGGCCTCCTGGCTCTTTCTTAGAGGAATTCTTTCGCCTAGTGGGTGCTCCCTCCAGTTATCACAAGGCTCACTCTTAATTCATTATCTCTCTCTAATTGCCATCTTTATCAGTATCATCTCCCACATCACCCTACATAAATTAGAAATCTGACATGAGACTTCACGTCTTGTTAGCTCATTTTACTCAATAGCACTTAGAATTATGTCACAAAATATATATTTATTTTATTTTTAAATTATCTACTCCTCACCTCCAACAGAATGCAAACTCTAGGAGGGCAGAAACATCATTTGTTTGCAATTTCATAGCTGCATCAACTGGTGCACTGCAGTGACTGGCATACTGCAGGGCTTGATACCCAGGGGAGCATGAATAATAGCCATCCTGAGACATGTCTCAATGTTGGAGTAAGACTCGTCCAGAGATATATTCCCACAAAGGTTACTTGTAAACTTTTTTAAATAAAAGTGTCAACCTGTTATCTCAACCATCAACTGATCAAATGAAAATTATAATTAGAATCCCTAAATACTTCACAAATCAATGCCAAATGAACTGAAATTTGTATTTCTGAGTATTCTGATATAGAATATGTACATTAAACTCAGAATTGTATTGATGCCAACATCATTTGTAACCCCCCAACATTTCTTTTTTTTTTTTTTTCTTTTTTGAGATGGAGTCTTGCTCTATCGCCCAGGCTGGAGTGCAGTGGCGTGATCTCAGCTTACTGCAAATTTCGCCTCCCAGGTTCACACCATTCTCCTGCCTCAGCCTTCTGAGTAGCTGGTACTACAGGCGCCCGCCACCGTGCCCAGCTAATTTTTTGTATTTTTAGTAGAGACGGGGTTTCACCATGTTAGCCAGGATGTTCTCGATCTCCTGACCTCGTGATCCGCCCGCCTCAGCCTCCCAAAGTGCTGGGATTACAGGCTTGAGCCACCGCGCCTGGCCGTAACCCCTCAACATTTCTACATTCAAGTTTTAAAAAGAAATAAAAGGTTACACAAAGTTTTAAGTTTTTTGTTTGGAAAATAATTTGTTTTCTTCTTCAAAAAAATTTCATAAAAAACAGCTTTTTTTCTGTCATATTCTGGAAAATTATGATGCTCAAAATATTTGCTTTTGTGGTGAAAAACAACATGAACTGTCACTAAGGTTACTTCTGACATCATTTTTTAAGTGATCTAAAAACATAAAGAGGAGTAAAATAAATCTAGAAAATAAATTCTTGGTCAAAAGACAAGGTTTTGATTTCACATCCAAATATATTTTTCAAGATGCCTGTGTCTTGGAAACAATTCTATCTGCTGCTACAACTTTCCTAGTAGAAACACTTTTATCTGAGTTAGAAGAAGCCTGACATCTGAACTTTCATGCAAATTTGGATTTGTCTCAGGAGATTCAGGGTATTTCAGATTTAAAATTTTACTCCAATATGCATGAGAATGATATTTAAACTATTTAGAAGAATCCATACCCTTTAACTGTATCATTTAAGTGCATTGTGTTGTATTGTTACCAAAATAAACATAAAAACAGAATAGAGGCAAAGGCCCTTTGGGGCCAAGGATGAAGCTCAGATAAATATTTATATCCCAAGTGGAAATGTTCTGAATGCAATCTCCCCTTTCTGTCATTCAGCTATGACGATGACTTATCATCTGTATCAGGTGACAGCATTCCAATGTAATCACTTGAAGATTGATTAATCATTTAAGGTTCTACAGTTAAAAGGAAAACATTTACTAAAGGTAATGTAGAGCCAGATGATATTTTGGGACCTTGACCTGGCTTTTGAGTTTAAGAAATGATGCTGTCATATTTCTGTAAGAGACAGCATATGGTATGCAAGATAAAATGTTGTTTCCCTAATGTGTCCCAACCCCAAAGAACCAGTTGATGAGAAGCCTGGATGTTTGTATGACAAGCTTAGGTATGTGCTTGCCTCTGTGAAAATTAAATTGTCATTGTGCCAAGGATATGCAGAGAATATCCATTAGCAATTGATGTCAGTATGTATATGTAGAATTTGAATGGGCTCTTTGTACAAATCAAAATTGGCTATGTGAAAAGAAGTAGAGATCAATTATACATTTGAAACCTGAATTCTTAAAATAAATATCAAGGCAAACAGTGAAAGAAAAGATACTTTAGTTCTTACGTTCTTAGCTATTTGCACCCCTGAAGCTCTGATGCACCAATTTTTTTCCTTATAAGAAAAACGATTATATTATTCAAAGGACGTTGTAATAAGTAACAGAGATTTTAATATGTGAAAATGTTTTGAATTTTTGAGGTGCTGACAATGATAATCTAAGTATTTATAAAAGCAATAGTTTTGAAGAACTGATTGTAACATGAGGTTGAATTCAATGCATTCTATACAAGATTTCTTGTTAGCACATATCTTTAGAAATACATATGTATGTTTGGACCATAATATTTGTTAATTATCACTTCTAGATTCCTATGTTCCCAATAATGACAGGCTGTTTTCACCTTTTCCCTCTTTTGAGTTTGCTTATAGGAAATAATATCTTTCATGTCTATACATGATGGAGACAGTGGAGATTGAAAACAGGCAGGATTACTGCTAACATAACCAAATGCTTAATGGTGAAAGAGATAAACTGTCATAGGCTGGAAAATGTTTGCGTAAGTTTCTTTAAAAATTTTTCAAAAAGCTGATTTTTAAAAATTGCATTTTTATGTTATTGAAGGGTGATGTATTAGTTAGTTCTCACACTGCTATAAAGAAATACCTGAAACTGGGTAATTTATAAAGAACAGAGCATTAATTGGCTGACAGTTCCATAGGGGAGGCCTCAGGAAACTTACAATCATGGCATAAGGTGAAGGGGAAGCAGGCACATTTTACATGGCTGGATAAGGAGGAAGAGAGAAAAGGGGGAGGTGCTATCCACTTTTAAACAATCAGATCTCCTGAAAACTCACCCACTATTATGAGAGCAGCAAGGGGGAAGTCCACTGTCATGATCCAATCACCTCCCACCAGGTCCTCCTCTCACATTGAGGGTTAAAATTTGACATGAGATTTGGGTGGGGTCACACATCCAAACTATATCAAGTGATATACTGTATTGTTGATTGTTAAAGGAATGGAGAAAATAACAAAAATGATTTGGAAATGATCGTGTGCCAGGTAGTATTAAGGCACATAAGATATTTGAATATATTCTCTCATTTGTCCTTCACAACAAACCTATTAACCCTATAATTGTATTTCTCTTTCACACAAGGGAAAATAGAACTACCTTCAACATTTATGTTAGTATGTGATAGAGTAGTGATTTAAACTCAATTTATTTTAATCACTAAATCTCAGCTCCTTCTAGTGTATTGTCATACACACCAGATTAGGCTATGTGTGTGTGTATATGTGTGTGTGTGCATGTGTAAGTATGCAAATACACACACACACACACACACACACACACATATATATGAGGCTGTGAGACCCCTGATTTCCCACTCCACACTGCTATATTTCTGTGTGTGTGTCTTTAATTCCTCTAGCGCCACTGGGTTAGGGTCTCCCTGACTGAGCTGATCTCAGCATCCAAGTAAGGAACTTGGAGAAATTAAATAGATATTTCTAACTGTGTTACCAAATTTGTTGTTTTCATTAAATGACGTATTTGACTAGTTAGAATTTATATATGTGTGTGTGTGTGTGTGTGTGTGTGTGTATAGACACTCTATTCTTTTATTCTTATTCTATTCAAACTTGATTAAAATATTAAAATTTATCATAATTTGCTTAAAGTTTATCTTAACTATCACATATATACCAAAATATCTAGTGTGATTTAGAGTACAGAAAAAAAGATATGACTTATTATTTTTATCTTCAAAGCATTTGTCATGTCTTTTAACAGGTGTTGATAAATAGTGAGGAAAGAGTATGTACATGTAGACCTGTGTAAGTTTAAATGTTAAACTTCTTGGACTGGGGAAAGAATAGTACAAACACTGAAATGAAAGGAACTGTGGTTTGTGAGATAAAGTCAGCAAAGCAATGTGACAAAAACAAAGAAGAGCCTGCAGAATTGTAAGAAATCTTACATTGTTTCCCAAGTCACAAAGAGTAAAGAAATTACAATACATACCAGGTTCCTAAATTATCTTCGCCTTTAGATGTGAGTGTGGTAGGATCAGTTTATGAAGCTCTATAAGCAATGATGTGACAGTGAATATTTAGCAATTAGTTCACTGGAGAGTGGGCCAAAAGCTCAGTTATGTACTATTTGCTGATTTCTGTGGTGTTAATTTCCTTAGCATGACCAACTTCAAGTTCCCACTTTCACGTCACCAAATAGGAAAATGGGAAAAAATGTCAAAGTTATCTTTATGACTCAGTTAGAGCTAGCTCCAGCACATCACTGGCTAAGTAAAATGCAAATTACAGCTGCTAGATTCAGTAAGTGTTGGCTCATAATTAAGAGAGTTCCATTAATGGTGCTTAAAACATGACTCACGAATAGTCTAAAGAAAGAAAGGTTGGTCTTAAGGTTATTAAAATTTCAGAAGTTGGTCAGGACTAAGGTGGAAACACTGGAACTGGAGACTAGATAGCAATGAATCTTTTCTCCAATGTTATGTAAATCAAAATCTAAAACTTGATCTCCAAGGGTCGGGAATAAGCCCCCAAAATCTGGCCATAAACTGGCCCCAAAACTGGCCATAAACAAAATCTCTGCAGCACTGTGACATGTTCGTGATGGCCATGACGACCATGCTGGAAGGCTGTGAGTTTACCGGAATGAGGGCAAGGCACACCTGGCCTACCCAGGGCGGAAAACCGCTTAAAGGCGTTCTTAAACCACAAACAATAGCATGATCGATCTGTGCCTTAAGAACATGCTCCTGCTGCAGATAACCAGCCAGAGCCCATCCCTTTATTTCGGCCCATCCCTTTCTTTCCCTTAAGGAATACTTTTAGTTAATCTGTAATCTATAGAAACAATGCTTATCACTGGCTTGCTGTCAATAAATACATGGGTAAATCTCTGTTCGAGGCTCTCAGCTCTGAAGGCTGTGAGACCCCTGATTTCCCACTCCACACCGCTATATTTCTGTGTGTGTGTCTTTAATTCCTCTAGCACCGCTGGGTTAGGGTCTCCCTGATGGAGCTGGTCTCGGTATCCAAGTAAGGAACTTGGAGAAATTAAATAGATATTTCTAACTGTGTTACCAAATTTGTAGTTTTCATTAAATGAAGTATTTGACTAGTTAGAATTTTTAATGGAATTACAATGTTTAATCAATAATGAACTCATTTTAAATCAGATAGACCTGGCATTTATTTAATTTTCTTCAGTTACTTGAGGTTTTGAAGATAGGGACTATATAAGTACAAAAAATATTTCAATGAAACAAAAATATTGCTTGTTTTATTTTTCTAATTGTTTTTCTTTTTTTTGACTTAAACCACATTTATTTTCTCACCGTTCTGGAGGCTAGAAGTCCAAGATCAAGGTGCTATGAAATCCGGTTTTAGGAGAGAGCTCTTTTCCTGGATTGTAGATGGCTGTCTTCTGCCTGTGTCCTCCCCGGGCGTTTCCTCTGCTCTTGAGGAGAGAGGGAGCTCTCTGGTGTCTCTTCCTCTTTTTTTTTTAAATTATACTTTAAGTTTTAGAGTACGTGTGCACAATGTGTAGGTTAGTTACATATGTATACATATGCCATGTTGGTGTGCTGCACCCATTAACTCGTCATTTAACATTAGGTATATCTCCTAATGCTATCCCTCCCCCCTCCCCCCATCCCAAAACAGGCCCCGGTGTGTGATGTTCCCTTTCCTGTGTCCGTGTGTTCTCATTGTTCAATTCCCACCTGTGAGTGAGAACATGCATTTTTCAACCTGTGGTAGGCGGCACCTCTGCTTTGGTTTTGCTTGTGCTCGCTGGTCTTGTTCCACACACTGGGCCCAGCAAGCTGTGCTTGGCTTGTGCTACTGGCCTGGATCCTATGCCAGTCAAAGGCGAGCCAGGTGCAGAGTGGTGAGGGGTGTGTGAGCAAGCAAGCATGGGGTGCGGCCAATGCACACGGCCAGGGATGCCAGCTTTGGTGGGGCAGGCAGCTCCAGGGACGCCAACACAGGCACAAGCTTCATGCGAGGCTGCACTGGAACAGACATACTACAAGCAGCTTCCGCTGCAGGCACCAGCATCTGAACAAGGGAAACATAAAGATGCCCAAAAGCTCAAAGACTCCAGGAACTGCAGAGCCCCAAAGACTCTGTTACAGCATGTCACAGCCCTGCCACGGGGAGCCCCAATGTCTGGGTGCCCAGTAGAGCTGTAGCTCTTCTCTCCTTCTTGTTGCCCACAATGTGGTGAGCAGGGGGCATGTTTCAGCCCTGTTTGTGTTACAGCTCTTTCAGTCTTGCCATTTGGCAGGTCCCGAGTTTTTGTCATGTGTCCAGGAAGGATGAGGTATGTGGACAACTGGAGGGTAAGCAAGGCAGAGAGGAGCTTCACTGAGTGTCAGGACAGCTCTCAAGAGACCCATAGCAGGTCATCCTGACAAGTATCCAGCTCTCAGCAGAGAGGAGACCTGTGGTGGGTAGCTCCTTCCTACAGCTGGTAGTCCCGACTTTTGTCCAAGTTTGGCTGAGTCCACAGTTATGGGCTCAAAGGGAGGAAGCGCATGCTGATTGGTCCATGGGCAGGCCGGGGCGGGGGAAAAAGCACCATAAGTTCTAGCTCCAGGCCACGGACTCCACCCAGAACTGGTAGCCCAGCCTGTCCCTAGGCTTCAAGACGTCCCTGGATTAAAGGTGAGGTGAAACCTCACCTTTCTGCTCAGGAACCTGTCTGCCTCCTGCTGCAAACAACATGCCATCCAGGCACCCAGGCTGTTTGTTCCAAGGGGCGCCTGCATTCCCATGCCAAGCCACCCTCATCCCCCCCTTCAGTCTCCCTCCCATATTTGTTGGCACCCAAAGTCTGGAGGAGGCCGAGGTGGCAGGGGGCTGCCATGTCGGGGCTTCCCTGAGCACGTGCATACCTAGCCAGGGCCCCACGCTCCTGGGCTCAGCTGCAACTTTGCTTTGAAATCAGAGTGGGCTCTGGGGGCAGGAAGAGGCCAGGGAGCAGTAGCAAGCACTTTTAAGCCTGCAGCAAGGGCAAGGGGCTTCCTGGGCCTCTGAGAGTGCGGGGATGCTGAGGTCTGGAGCTGAAGCTGGGTAGCTGTGGCTGTGCCCAGGAGCATGGGGCTCCTGCCCTGCCAACTTGGTAGGGGGCAGGACTCTTGCCTGTTCCCAGCTCCTTATGACTCTGCAGAAAATGCAACCCTGTCTGTGCTTCCCCCGCTGCAGCTCGCATATTCTCAGTGGCTCCTCCAGATTGGCCACTGCTGCCATCAGTATTTGTGTATCGAAACATATCTAAACATAAAACAAGTAGAGTAAAATATGGTATCATTGATTTTAAGAAACGGTACACCTGTATGGAGCAGTTACCATGAATGAAATTTGCAAGGCTGAAGATTGCTCTTGGTGGCTGAGTGAGTGGTGAATGAATGCAAAGGCCTAAGACACTACTGTATACTTTTGTAGACTTTGTAAGCATTATCAAGCTACACTTAAATGTATACAAAAATTAAATAATTGCTCTATGATGTTACAATGGCTATGATGTCACTAGGCCAAATAAGTTTTTTGGCTCCATTATATCATATGGGACTATTGTCATATATGTAGTCCATCATGAACTGAAACATAATTCTGTGGCACATGATTGTAATTTTAATATACTATTATTTATATAATATAAAATTATACATAGTAATAATAATCACACTATTCTTAACAAATATTCTATTTATAGCTAATATTAAGATTTAATTGCAGTGCAAATTACTACATTGATCCACTGTCTATCTTGTATTGAGATATGTGATTAAATAGTTAATAAACCATTTATAAAGTGTCAGTAATATGAAAAGGAATTCCGTGTTTATTTAAAAAAAAGTTTAATTTTTTTTTTTTTTTTTTTTTTGAGACGGAGTCTGGCTCTGTCGCCCAGGCTGGAGTACAGTGGCGCGATCTCGGCTCACTGCAAGCTCCGCCTCCCGGGTTCACGCCATTCTCCTGCCTCAGCCTCCCAAGTAGCTGGGACTACAGGCGCCCGACACTACGCCCGGCTAATTTTTTGTATTTTTAGTAGAGACGGAGTTTCACCGTGCTAACCAGGATGGTCTCGATCTCCTGACCTCGTGATCCACCCGTCTCGGCCTCCCAAAGTGCTAGGATTACAGGTGTGAGTCATTAAAAAATGTTTAATATTTTTGGATTCAATTAATCAAATACTTCTGGAAAGACAACTGTAGCTATGTTTGAAAAAGAAAACATTTATACAGACGTTTTTACAGCCCTTACTTTCAAGCATTTATACTTTTCTTGAAATATTACCCTTTAAGCCGAAATTTTTCATTCTTCCTCTCAGCTTTGAGGTGCAATATTTGGAAAGGTTAGTAAAATTTCATTAAGTCATTCTGAGTTATCTAAGGCTGAACATTTAGAAATTGTTCAGACATTTTTAATACACTTGAAAAGTTGAAAATAGTTTTGTTTTTAAAGTTCACACTTGCCACATATTTAGTCTTCACTGAAGAATGGATGCCAGAACTTCTTAGAGCAAGTAGAGGTACTTTAAAAACAAGATTGATATCTCTGTACCTTTCATCCGATCCCTAAGTTATAGCAGACTGACTGTAGCCCACGTGAGGCTGAAGAAGAAGATATATTTTATTTCTGGCCTATTAATATCTTTATTCCTTTTTGTCTCTTCTCATAAATTTTCTCATATATTCGCTTACTCTCTCTGGGCCATCCTGTTGACAGCAATCTGAAAATGGAAACAGACTTGTAAAATAAAAAAATATTTTGTAAAAGCAAGCAAATTTTTCTCTTGATATGTTTTAAATTGCTATGGTCTTGTTTTACTTCCTACTTACTCATGATATGATCTTACATGTGCTCTGAGCCTTACATGCTATAATTTTACATATGCTTCAATTAACAAAAGTAATTTGAATGATAGAAATAACTTAAGTAATAAGGCAAAGAGGGCATATGGAAAGAGAAAAGGGAAGGAAGTGGAGAAAGAAACAATCAAAAGGTGGATCTTTAATTACTTAATTTCAGACATGAGGTAAAACAATGTTTTATATTTCAAAATAAAAAGTGCCATAGAAATATAAACCAAAACTTCAGTCTAAAATGTAGCTTAAAGATGTAAAAAAAATTAAAATTATAAAACTCAGGACATTAATATATTTTTAATTGAATGAGAAATATTCAAACAAAATACAGTCATACGTTTTCTAAATCTTTGGAACCAGAACAAAACTTGAATAAAAAATGACATTTAAAAAATAGCAAACTAATTTTCATAATATATAAAATGAATTGTACTTTATGGCCAAGAGTAATTTCATATATGCATGTCTAGTTCAGCATTCAAAGATCAATCAATGTAATTTATATCAGGCTAAAGAAGAAAAATCTTATGACCATATTAATTAATTCAGAAAAGGCATTTCATAAAATCTAACACTCATGATAAAAACTTTTAGTAAGTTAGGAACATAGGAGATGATCTCAGCTTGGTAAAGAGTATTTTATAAAAATCTACAACTAAAATCATACTTAAAAGTAAAATATTAAATGCCTACACCCTAAGATCAAGAATAAGGCAAAAATGTCTGTTCTCATCACTCTTATGAAAATAGTACTAGAATTTCTAGACAGTACAATAAGCCAAGAAAAATAAATAAAAAGCATATATATTATAAAGAAACACATAACACTGATCTCTATTTCCAGATGTCACTTATTGTCTACATAGAAAATCTTAAGGAATCTACAAAAACAAAAGCAAATATCTCTTAATACTAATAAGTAGTTTAACTCGGTCACAGTAGCAAGATCAATACACTTAACAATCAAACTTTTATTTACAAGCAAATAAAAACCAAAATTAAAAACAATACAATTTACAGTTTCTCTAATGAAAATGAAAACTTTGGCACAATTCTAACAAAATATGTACAGGATCTGTATCCTGAAAATTACAAAATTCTGATGAAAGAGATCAAAGAAGTCCTAAATAATTCAAGTAACACACCATATACATGGATTGGAAGGCACAATATTATAAAGATGTCAATTCTTACCAAACTGATATATAGGTTTAGTGCACTTTTTATCAAAATTCCATCAATAGTTTTTTAAGGAATTGAAATGCATTCTAAAATATATATCCAGAAGCATAAGTCCTAGGATAGCTAAAGCTATCTTGTAAAAAAAAGAAGTAAGTAAAATAAATCACTCTACCCAACACTGAAGATTAAAACATAGTAATTAATACAGTATAGTAATAGCAAAAGGACGCATATATAGGTCAGTGGAACAGAATATTGAACTGAGATACAGACCCTTAGAAATATGTCCAACTAACTTTTGACAAAAATACAAAAATAATTTGATGAAGAAAAGCTAGTCTTAAATATTGCTAGAAAAATTAAATATCCATAGTCAAAAGCCTGCATTGATTCTCACAACTTTTACAAAAATTGACTCAAAATGAATCATAGATTTAAATATAAAAGGTAAAATGGTATAATTTTTAGAAAACAAACATAAGAGAAGATCTTCAGAGTTTGAATGTGCAAAAATCACAGGCATTCTTCTACACCAGTAACAGACAAACAGAGAGCCAAATCATGAGTGAACTCCCATTCACAATTGCTTCAAAGAGAATAAAATACCTAGGAATCCAGCGTACAAGGGATGTGAAGGACCTCTTGAAGGAGAACTACAAACCACTGCTCAGTGAAATAAAAGAGGATACAAACAAATGGAAGAACATTCCACGCTCATGGGTAGGAAGAATCAATATCGTGAAAATGGCCATACTGCCCAAGGTAATTTATAGATTCAATGCCATCCCCATAAAGCTACCAATGACTTTCTTCACAGAATTGGAAAAAACTACTTTAAAGTTCATATGGAACCAAAAAAGAGCCTGCATTGCCAAGCCAATCCTAAGCCAAAAGAACAAAGCTGGAGGCATCATGCTACCTGACTTCAAACTATACTACAAGCCTACAGTAACCAAAATAGCATGATACTGGTACCAAAACAGAGATATAGACCAATGGAACAGAGCAGAGCCCTCAGAAATAATACCACACATCTACAGCAATCTGATCTTTGACAAACCTGACAAAAACAAGAAATGTGGAAAGGATTCTCTATTTAATAAATGGTGCTGGGAAAACTGGCTAGCCATTTGTAGAAAGCTGAAACTGGATCCCTTCCTTACACCTTATACAAAAATTAATTCAAGATGGATTAAAGACTTAAATGTTAGACCTAAAACCGTAAAAACCCTAGAAGAAAACCTAGGCAATACCATTCAGGACATAGGCATGGGCAAGGACTTCATGACTAAAACACGAAAAGCAATGGCAACAAAAGCCAAAATTGACAAATGGGATCTAATTAAACTAAAGAGCTTCTGCACAGCAAAAGAAACTACCATCAGAGTGAACAGGCAACCTACAGAATGGGAGAAAATTTTTTCAATCTACTCATCTGACAAAGGGCTAATATCCAGAATCTACAATGAACTCCAACAAATTTACAAGAAAAAAACGAACAACCCCATCAAAAAGTGGGCAAAGGATATGAACAGACACTTCTCAAAAGAAGACATTTATGCAGCCAAAATACACATGAAAAAGTGCTCATCATCACTGGCCATCAGAGAATTGCAAATCAAAACCACAATGAGATACCATCTCACACCAGTTAGAATGGCAATCATTAAAAAGTCAGGAAACAACAGGTGCTGGAGAGGATGTGGAGAAATAGGAACACTTTTACACTGTTGGTGGGACTGTTAACTAGTTCAACCATAGTGGAAGTCAGTGTGGCGATTCCTCAGGGATCTGGAACTAGAAATACCATTTGACCCAGCCATCCCATTACTGGGTATATACCCAAAGGATTATAAATCATGCTGCTATAAAGACACATGCACACGTATGTTTATTGTGGCACTATTCACAATAGCAAAGACTTGGAACCAACCCAAATGTCCAACAATGATAGACTGTATTAAGAAAATATGGCACATATACACCATGGAATACTACGCAGCCATAAAAAATGATGAGTTCATGTCCTTTGTAGGGACATGGATGAAGCTGGAAACCATCATTTTCAGCAAACTATTGCAAGGACAAAAAACCAAACACCGCATGTTCTCACTCATAGGTAGGAATTGAACAATGAGAACACATGGACACAGGAAGGGGAACATCACACACCAGGGCCTGTTGTGAGGTGGGGGTAGGGGGGAGGGATAGCATTTGGAGATATACCTAATGTTAAATGACAAGTTACTGGGTGCAGCACACCAACATGGCACATGTATACATATGTAACTAACCTGCACGTTGTGCACATGTACCCTGAAACTTAAAGTATAAAAAAAAAAAAGAGTAGGGAAACAGTTCCTAGACTAACACCAAAATCTCCATTCATAAAAGAAAGATTGATAAGTTTAATTTTATCATATCAGAGTATATCACAGGGAAAAAATTTTAATTATAATAAAATTTATTTTTAAATTATAATAAAATTAGAGAGAGAGCTGCTTCTCCAAACAGAAAGGACAAGCTGAGAGTGGATGCACTGGATTTTATAGTCTGGTTTGAAGAGGCAGTGTCTGATTTACGTAGGGCTCACAGGTTGGTTACATCAGGTATGACGTTTACACAGCACGCAGGAAAGGCTGGTCACTCCACCCTAATCTTATTATGCAAATTAGCTTTCCAGTTGATCTGTGCCATCTTGTCTGCTTGTTACCGAACACATGACTGGCAGAGAACGGAAGATGGAGCCACCATCTTCAACATGTTTAATCTCTACTTCCTGCCAGTATTCACCTATGCAAGCTCCCAGCTTGCTTGTCTATGTCTGTAGCTTGACTTTACAGGCCGCTCTTTGTTAGAAAATGATTTTGGCTGGCTGTTTATTAAAAAGAAAAGCCTTACTGAGGACTCCTATACCCTTACTATCTGCCTAAGTGATTTCTTCTTAACTCCTGTGTCAGTAGTTCTCCTTGTAGAGATCTTTTACTTCCCTCGTTAGTCATATTCTTAGATATTTTATTTTGTGTGTGCGGCAATTATAAATGGGAATTAATTCATGATTTGGCTCTTGGCTTGACTGTTGTTGATGTACAGAAATGCTAGCAACGTTTGCACATTTATTTTGTATACTGAGACTTTGATGATGTTGCTTATCAGTTTAAGAAGCTTTTGCCCTGAGACAATGGAGTTTTCTAGGTATAAGATGATGTCATCTGCAAACAAACAGATTGACTTCCTCTCTTCCCATTTGAATGCCCTTCATTTCTTTCTCTTGCCTGATTGCTTTGGCCAGAACTTCCAATACTATGTTAAATATAAATGATGACAGAGGGGATCCTTGATTTGTGCTGTTTTTCAAGGGGGATGCTTCTAGCTTTTGCTCATTCAGCAAAAATGGCTGTGGATTTGTTGGCTGTGGGTTTGTCATAGATGGATTTTATTATTTTGAGTTATGTTCTTTCAATATCTAGTGTATTGAGAGATTTAAAGAAAGGCAGTTGAATTTTTTCAAAAGCCTTTTCTGTATCTATTGAGATAACCATGTGTTTTTCATCTTTAGATTTTTTGTGTGTGTGATGAATTACATTTATTTATTTGTGTATGTTGAATCAACTTTGCATCCCAAGAATGAAGCCTACTTGATCATGGTGGATAAGCTTTTTGATGTGTTGCTGGATTCAGTTTGCCATTATTTTATTGAGGATTTTTGCATCAATGTTCATCAAGGATATTGGCCTGGTTTCCTATTTTTTTTTTTTTGGATCTCAGCCAGGTTTTGGTATCAGGATGATGTGGGCCACATAGACTGAGTTAAGGAGGAGTCCTTCCTATTTAGTTTTTTTGAAATAGTTTCAGTAGGAGTGGTACTAACTTTTCATTGTGCATGTAGTAGAATTCAGCTGTAAATCGATCTGGGCCTGGGCTTTTATTGGTTGGTAGGCTATTTACTACTGCCTCAATTTCAGAACTCATTAGTGGTCTGTTCAGGAATTCAGTTTCTTCCTGGTTCAGCCTTGGGAGCTTGTATGTGTCCAGGAATCTATCCATATGTTCTAGATTTTCTAGTTTATGTGCAGAGGTGTTTATAATATTATCTGATGGTTGTTTGTGTTTCTGTGGTGTCAGTGGTAATATTCCCCTTATCATTTCTGATTGTGTTTATTTGAATCTTCTCTTTTCTTCTTTATTAGTGTAGTTAGTGGTCTATCTATTTTATTAATTTTTTCAAAAACCACCCCCTGGTTTCATTGATCTTTTTAATGGTTTTGTGTGTTCCTGTCTCTTTCAGTTTATATCTGATTTTGGTTATTTTTTATCTTCTGCTAGCTTTGGGATTTGTTTCCTCTTGGTTCTCTAGTTCTTTTAGTTGTTACATTAGGTTGTTAACTTGAGATCTTCCCAGCTTTTTAATGTGAGTTTTAGTACTATACATTTCACTCTTAACACTGCCTTAGCTATGTTCCAGACATTCTGGTATACTGTATCTTTGTTCTCATTAGATTCAAATAACTTCTCGAATTCTGCCTTAATTTCATTACTTACCCAAAACTCATAGAGGACAGGTTATTCAATTTCCATGTGATTGTATGGTTTTGAGTGAATTTCTTAGTGTTAATTTCTAATTTGATTGTGCTGTGGCCTGAGAAACTATATGTTAAAATTTTAGTTATTTTTCATTTGCATCAGGTCCACTTGATCCAGAGATGAGTTCAAGTACTGAATATCTTTGCTAATTTTCTGCCTTGATGATCTGTCTAATATTGTCAGTGGGTTGTTAAAATCTCCCACTATGATTGTGTAGGAGTCTAAGTCTCTTTGAAGGTCTCTAACAACTTGTTTTATGAATGTGGCGGCTCCTGTGTTAGGTGCATATATATTTAGGATAGTTAGCTCTTGTTGTTTAATTGTACCCCTTACTGTTATGTAATGGCCTTCTTTGTCTTTTTAAATCTTTGTTGTGTTAAAGTCTGTTTTTGCCAGAAACTAAGTTGGCGACCCCTGCTTTTTTGTTTTTCATTTACTTGGTAAATTTTTCTTTATCCCCTTATTTTGAGCCTATGTGTGTCATTGCATGTGAGATAGGTGTCTTGAAGATAGATAGCGTAGCATTGGGTCTTTTATCTAGCTTGCCATTCTGTGTCTTTTAATTAGGGCAATTAGTCCATTTACATTCACGATTAGTATTGTTACGTGTGGATTTTATCCTGTCATCATGATGCTAGCTGGTTATTTTGCAGACTTGTTTATGTGGTTGTTTCATAGCATCACTGGTCCATGTACTTCAGTGTGTTTTTATATTGGTTGGTAACGGTTATTTCTTTCCATATTTAGTGCTTATTTCAGAAGCTCTTGTAAGGCAGGGTGATGGTTATAAACTCCCTCAACATTTCCTTGTCTGGAAAGGATCTTATTTCTTCTTTTATGAAGCTTATTTTGGCTGGATACGAAAATTCTGCGTTGGAAATTATTTTCTTTAAGAATGTTAAATATTGTCCTCCAATCTCTTCTGGCTTGCAGGGTTTCTGCTGAGAGTTGTGTTGTTGTTAGTCTGATGGGCTTCCCTTTGTAGGTGACTTGGCCTTTCTCTCTGGCTGCCCTTAACTTTATTATTTTTTTTTTTTTTTGAATTTCAACCTTGGAGAATCTGACGATAATATGTCTTAGAGATGATCTTCTTGTGGAGTATCTTACTGGAGTTCTCTGCATTTCCTGAATGTGAATGTTGGTATGTCTAGCTAGGTTGGGGAAGTTCTCGTAGATGATATTCTGAAATATGTTTTCCAGATTGGTTCCATTCTTTCCATCTCTTTCAGGTACAACTATCAGTCATATATTCTGTCTCTTTACATAATCACATATTTCTAAGAGTTTTTATTCATTCTTTTTAATTATTTTTTCTCTTTTCTTTTCTGGCTGTCTTATTTCAGAAGGAGAGTCTTCAAGCTCAGGATTCTTTTCTCCACTTGATCTATTCTGCTATTAATACTTCTGATTGCATTATACTTCCTGTATTGTGTTTTTCAGCTCTATCAGGTTGGTTATGCTCTTTTCTGTACTGGCTATTTGTCTGTCAACTCCTGCAATGTTTTATCATGAATTTTAGCTTCCTTGCATTGAGTTAGAACATGCTCCTTTAGCTCAGTGAAGATCAATTTTAGCCACATTCTGAAGTCCACTCCTGTCATTTTAACTATGTCAGCCTCCACCCAGTTCTGAACACTTGCTGGAGAGGTAATGTGGTCATTTGGAGGAAAGAGGGCACTCTGGCTTTTTGAGTTTTTAGCATTCTTGCACTCATTCTTTTTCATTTTGGTGGGTTTATCTACCTTCAGTCTTTGAAGTTGCTAACCTTTGGATTTTTTTTTTCTTTTAAGAGTCTGGCCACTTGTCTGTAGGCCTGCTGTGGTTTGCTTGGAGTTACTTCAGTCCCTAGTCACCTCAGGTTTTCTAGTACCTGGATGCATCACTAGTGAAGGCTGCAAAAGAACATAGATGGGAGCCTGCCCCTTCCTCTGGAGCTCTGTCCCAGGGTGGTAGGAACTTGTTTTCCCAAACACACCTGTAGGAGGTGGCTGGAGACTCCAGCTGGGAGGTCTGACTCAATCAGTAGAAACAGGACTGGAAACCTGTTTAAAGAAGCAGTCTAGTCACACATTCATAGAGCAGCTGTGCTGTGCTTGGGTACTGCTTCCCTTGTTGGTACTCCAGGACAGCACAGGTCAGTTTGGGATCTCCAAAGCTTGTAGGTTAGAATGGCTAAGTTGCCAAAACAGTAAAGGTGTTGGCCCAACACTCCTTCTATAGACTCTGTCCCAGGAAACTTTCAAACCTCTGTTGGCCAGAGAATATCCACAGGAGTGGCTGGAGGCCCTAGTTGGAAAGTGCCCTGTGAAGAGAAACAGATTGGGGACCCACTTAAGGAAGTAGATGGGCCATGCATTTTAGAGCATGTGCCACTGTTACCGCCCTGGGTCAGCTTAGGCTGGAATGGCTGTGTCACTCAAATAGCAATGATGGTAGTCTGCCCCTCCCCCTGAGTGCTCTGTCTAGTCCTAGGTAGGTGCAACCCTGTTGCTGGGAGCTAGCTGGAATTCCAAGACAGTGGGTTTTATACTGTTAGGAACTGTGAAAGTGGGGCTTGCATATTGATGCTGCTTGGACCCTTGAATTCAACTCCTTTCCAACAGGTACGTACAGAGGTCCAATCCCTTGCCCTGCCTGAGTTGCAATTACCTTTTTCAGGGATCCTAGAGCCAGAGTGTGTAAAGCTCCTGGATCTTTGTGAATGCCTGAGCAGCTGCTCTGCTGAGAGTACATACAGCTCTATGTGTCAGACCAAAGACCCTGGTAAAGTGGGTTCATGAGGGAATCTCCTGACTTGAGAGTTGCAAACATCCACGGGAGAAGTGTGGTTTCCTGGGGGTGCCCATTCACTCACCACTTCTTTGGGCAGATGGAGGTTTTCTTGGTTCCATGTCACTCCCAGGTGGGCCATCACCCTGCTCTGCTTTTCTCTGTTCTCTGTGGGTCGAGGTGTTTTCCTCATCAGTTGAATGCAAATACCTGGATATTTCAGTTGAAGGTGCTATATTTACTTGTCCTTTTCATTTCTTTCATGAGAGCCATGCACTATAGCTGCCTCTAGCCTGCCATCTTGGCCCCGCTTCCTGTATTCTTTTTGTGTCTCTTCATGGGCATATCATAGCTGGCATCATATGACAGAGGCTAGTGGGGGAGTTAGAGTTTATATTTCCATTGATAGGGGTCATAATGATCAAAAAGCTCATATTGTTTTAAGTATCCAAGGAAGTTAAGTATCTGGATTCAGAGATGAGGAAATCAAATTATTTGAAATTTGCTATTGCTAGGGGTCATAATGATCAAAAAGCTCATATTGTTCTAAATATCCAAGGAAGTTAAGTATCTGGATTCAGAGATGAGGAAATCAAATTATTTGAAATCTTGTCACACAGGAGAAATAGACTGACATAAATCTGAATTCTGTACTCTTACGCATAGCTTATCTGCTTTGCCTAGAGCATATGGTGTATACATTCTAAATGTGTATACATTCCAAAATGTGTATAATCCTTAATCTTTAGAATAGTTAATTAGCTTCATATCCCAGATAAAGCCACAAAAAGTTTCTACTAAGCTTTTCTTCCATTTGTATTCATGACATTCTATGAAAAAAAAATTCTAGTAGAGTCACCATGAGAGATTTGAAAGAAACTCTCTTGTTCTTTACTTTTATAACTTAAAATATACTACAAAAATATTACCCAGTGATTGTAACCACATAACTCAGTCTGTAATGAGATGTATTAATTTAATTATAACACTTTATAAAACATTTAGAAACATAAGCACTGATTTAATTGCAAGGCAGTTCCTGTAGTGTGAATTTGAAGTTTGAGTGTTTTCAAACTCTTCCAGTCACATAATTTATTTATGGAGCAGGCATGAATTGAGTTTATATTATGTTAGCCACAAGAAATGCCTGATATTTTTTTTCATTTCTGACATGTAGAAATGGCAATTTTCTATTGTTAAAACTAATAGAATGTGCTAGGTATTTTGCTAAATAATGAAGACAACAAGCCAGAAAGTTATGACCCTTTACTCCTGGAACTCAAAATTTAGAGGGGAGATAGACATGTAAATAAATCTTAACAACTACTTTCCAACTGCTTCATTGCTCTTAAGGTTAGGAGGAGCAAGCAGGATCTGAAGATAATAAAGTTTTATTCTTTATTCTTATACCAGATTTCAAAATATAGCCTCCCATTATGTTTTCTCAATACTATACAAAGAGAAACATCTCAATTAATGCTGCTTCATTCACAAGATCATGTAGAATTGACAATGTTCAAAAAGATATGGGTCTCTCATCATTTTTTCTCATCTCAGTAAAATAACCACCTTTCTGCTTTGCTCATGTCAATATATAGGGCTATCCATGATTCTTCCTTTTTGGGTCATACCCAAGATCATACAATCCTATGAAAAACACTATCAAAATATATTTTCGGTACTATCTCACCTCCTCCATTAGCACTACATTAGCACAAGCTGCCAAACTTTTTACTTAAGATTATTGCAATAATCTTCCAATGTGTCTCCATTATTCATATAAAAACCAAAGTAATAATATAACTTCTCTGTGTTGCAACAATCTAAGAGCTACCAATAAAACCTAGAATAAAAACCAAAGGAGATGTCAGGGCCTATTTAAGGATACCACTCCCACTTATTCCCTACACTCTAGCTGTGCTGGCTATGTTGTTTTTTCTCCAATGCAACAGTGACTTTCCATTTGAGGAACTTTACACATATCGTTTACTCTGCTTAGGTTATTCTCCCAGAAAGATTTGCACATTGTCTCTCATTTCACTAGGTCTCTGCTCAGTTGCCACATCTTCAGACCTGTCTTCCTAAACAGTACCTTCTGTTGCTCTATTATTGTGCTACAGATCACAGATGGAGGACACCTAGTTTAATTCGAAGTTCATATAACCAATAAATATTTTATATTAAATTTTTAGGATAATTTCCAAGTGTTAATTATAATAAGTTTATATGGCATGGGACTTTTTATACTAAAAATTTAGTCAGCATTTTTCTGAAATTCAAATTTAATTGTGAGTCTTGTGTCTTGATTGGCTAAAACTGGCATCTCAACAAGTTATACTCTATAGAATTTCACCTACATGATATATTATAAATTAATTTGTTAGGCAATTGTTTTGTTGCATTCTGAGCAAATGCTCAGAATCTAGAGCAGAAACTATCATATAAGAAATGCTTAGCAAATATTTGTTGAGGTAAGGAAGAAATCATTGTGTGTGTGTGTGTGTGTGTGTATGTGCGTGTGTGTGTGTGGTTGATTACATGTGTATGTTTCACATTTGCAAAAATGTCTAGAAGAAAAAGCCAGAAAAAATATTTTCTTGCAGTGCAGACTAGGCAGTTTTTACAAGTGACTCATTGAGCTCTGTGGAAATTGAAACATGAGAAAGAGTAATTGCAAAGGACATTAGAAATTAAGCAAGTTAGAGCAGGTTAGAAAACTTTACAAGGCTACATAAAATAATCAGCTTCAGTAGGTGAAGACTTTGAAGCAACATTACCTATGATCGAAGATGATTCAGAATGCAAACCTGGCTCCTTTAAGAAGTAACCTCTCTAGAACTTGACAAAGAAATTATAATTTTTATTTTTTCCCAAAGCTTTCCTATTTTCTATGATAGCATAATTTTAACTATCTGGATTGTAGCAACCAATATATTTTCAATAGTGTAACCCCTGCTGGATAGATTCTGTGTGATGAGTACAAATGAAATTCTGGCAACTAATAAAAGGCCTCAAAGGTGCTGGCTACATTCAGGTAAAGTAACCAGTGGAGATGAGATTTACTGGGTCCTACATAATGGAAGAAGGTAAAGAATATAAGATGCATATTTAGATTAAACTTAATGATTTTCGTGATTCAAACCACAAGTCTGCAGTATAATTATATATACAAAGTATTAAAATATATTTATTATAAAATATATTTATTATATGTATATTATACATAAATATATAATATTACTATATGTTATATATTGCACATAATAGCATATATAACATATTATAATTATAATATAATATATTATGTGTTATATAACAAAATATTATAATAATTATAATACATTATATGTTAATATAATTATAATGTAACATTATAATTACATGCTATATATTTATATATAATATGTTTATATATAATATTATCATCATTGTGTGGATTATTTTAAAATAATATATATTAAATATGTAATAGTATATATATTATATATCATATATATTTTAACTGATAACATCATATATATAATCTATATAATATTATCATCATTGTGCAGATTATTTTTAAATAATAAATAACCATGAAATAAGTGTCCTCTATTGTATCTGTCATCCCTTGTGCAATAATAGAGCCACAGAAGATGCTATTAGAAAACAGGGTATGGGGAAAAAAAAATGATGAATAAGAGGCAGGACTAACTTCCAGGTCTCACTCTGATGGACAGAACATTGTGTGAAGACTCACACTGTTAACTTTTGCTCCAAGAACTACTACTGCAGGAACATACCAGGAAATCTTAAAGAATACATGGACCCTTTGAAAGAAGTGGCTTGCCACTGCAAACTCCATGTGACAGCTAAAAAACCGTTAAGTGCCCAAAGTGTGAGAGGGAGAAAGTCTACCTCCAAACACATATTGCCTTTGGAGAACTTGAACATCCAGATAACGGAAGAATAATTTACCTAGAACTGAAATGAATTCAGAGAGCTGAATACAATATAAAAGAAGAAGCAGCAGTGGGAAGAGTAGACACTTCCAGTTCCCAGGAAAGCTCAGGAAGCCATTTCTGACTTTATCTCACAGGAGTCCTTGGGGAGGGCTACCAGTGGAATCGGGGAAGGACCACAGCGAGATAGAAACTTTCACTTGAATGTTGTAACAAATTCGACCAAGCACAAATTGTTCTGGGCAGAGTCTGGGAGGAAGCGAATAGGAAGTGCAGACATGAGCACAGAACCTGTGGCAGGTGGGGAGGGTGGGGACTGAAAGCCCTGCTTGCTTTCTCAGTGGGGAGACATGTAGCCTGGGGCAAGGTCTCAGCCCTTCTCACCAGTTGTCTGTATATAAATTCGATGCTGTTGGTGGAACATTGTGAGAGTGAGACTGGCCTTGTTGCCTGGATGGGAGCTGGGTGAGACCTGTCACTTCTGATTTTTCCCAAGTTCCCTGGTGATGTGGATGATGCAGTAGAGGCAGCCATAATCCCCCTGGGAACATAATTCCATTAGCCTAAGAACCACACCCTGAGCCCCCACAGTGGCTACAGAAAGCCCCATTCAAGGAGAGTCTGAGCTCAGGCACACCTAAACCTGGTTAAACCTGATGGTCTTTCTCTACCTACCCTGGTAGTTGAAGGCAAAAATATAATCTCATGGAAGATCTGCGGCCCTGCCCATCAGCTGAGAAACCCAAATACTTATCCACGTGATCTTAGAACAAACTTGTATCCCCCCATACTACTGCAGCTGATGCTCTCTTGAAAGTGCCACCTCCGCACTGGAGGCCAACCAAATCAAGCCATTACAGCAACTGAAAGAAGAACAGTGGTGCTCCAAGAAAAAAAGAAAGCAACAGTGAATTCCACCATCTGTAACATGCTATTTAACTAGAGGTTCTGAGTCTGTCCATGTGATAACTTCATTGCTAGCACAACCAGCATTCCATGAAACCGGTGCACTAAACAGAACTACAATCAAGGACCCTCACAGAGTCCACTTCATTCCCCTGCTACCTCCACCAGAGCATGTTCTTGTATCCACAGCTGAGAGACACGAAGATGGATCACATCACAGGACTCTGCAAACACTCCCCAGTACCAGCCCAGAACCTGGTAGCTCTGCTGGGTGACTAGATCCAGAAGAGCAATAAAAATCATGCAATCTGTCTCTTAGAAAGCGGAGAAAGAGGAGAGCACATTAACGGAGCACCACATCGGACTAAAAAATCTGAACAACAGTGCTTGAGTCCCAGATCTTTCCTCTGACATAGCCTGCTCAAATAAAATAAAACCAGAAAAGCTATTCTGGTAGTATGACAAAACAACGTTCTTAAACACCCTCAAAAGATCACACTAGTTCACCAGCAATGGATCCAAACCAAAAAAAAGTCTATAATTTGCCTAGAAAAGAACTCAGAAGGTCAATTATTAACATCCAACATAAAGAAATGTAAAAAGTAATGCAGGATATAAATGGAAAAATATACAGAGAAATAGATAATGTAAATAAAGAACAGTAACAACTTCTGGAAATGAAAGACACACTTAGAGAAGGAAATGAAAGACACACTTAGAGAAGTACAAAATACACTAGTTTCAGTAGTAGAATCAAACAAGTAGAAGAAAGAACTTCAGAGCTCAATGACCAGGCCTTTGTATTAACACAATCCAACAAAGAAAAAGAAAAAAGAATTTAAAAAAATGAACAAAACTTCCAAGAAGTTTGGGGATATGTTGAATGACCAAACCTAAGAATAATTGATGTTCCCAAGAAAGAAGAGCAATCTAAAAGTTTGAAAAACTTATTTGAGAGAATAAGAGAGGAAAACTTTCCTGGTTTTGCTAGAGATCTAAACATTCAAATACAAGAAGCTGAAAGAACACTTGGGAAATTCATCACATAAAGATTATCTCCTAGGCACATGGTCATCAGGATATCTAAAGTCAAGATTGAGGCAAGAGTATTAAGTAACCTGTAAAGGAAAACCTATCAAATTAACAGCAGATTTCTCAGCAGAAATCCTATAAGCTAGAATGAATTAGTCTCCTATCTTAAGCTTCCTTAAACAAAACAATTACCAGCTAAGAATTTGCTAACCAAGAAAACTAAGCTTCAAAAATAAAGGAAAGATACAGTCTTTTTCAAACAAATGCTAAGAGAATTTGCCACTACCAAGTAGGCAATGCAAGAACTGCTAAAAAGAGTTCTAAATCTTGAAACAAAACCTCAAAATACATCAAAATAGAACCACCTTAAAACAAAAGTCTTACACAGCCTATAAAACAATAGCACAATGGAAGAAAAAGAAACACAAGGTATTCGGGCAACAAATAGTTAAATGAATATAATAGTACCTCACATCTGAATACTAACATTGAGTGTAAATGGCCTAAATGCTCCACATAAAAGATACAGAATGGCAGAATGGATAAGCATTCACCAACCAAGTATCTGGTTTCTTTAAGAGATTCACCTAACACATAAGGACTCACATAAACTTAAGGTATAGGTGTGGAAAAAAAATTCCATGCAAAAGGACACCAAAAAGGAGCAGAAGTAGCTACTCTCATATCAGACGAAAAGGACTTTAAAACAACAGCAGTTAAAAAAGACAAAGAAGGACATTATATAATGATAAAAGGACTAGTCCTTCAGGGAAATATCACAATCCTAAATAGTTTCAGTAGGATTAATACCAATTCTCCTTTGAATATCTAATAGAATTCAGCTGTTAATTCATCTGTTCCTGGACTTTTTTTGTTGTCTTTTTTTTTTTTTTTTTTTTACTGATGCAATCTTGCAGCTTGTTATTAGTCTGGTAAGGGTTTGTATTTCTTCCTGGTTTCATCTATGAGTGTTGTATATGTTCAGAAATTTATCTATGTCCTCCAGATTGTTCAGTTTGGCACATAAAGGTGTTCATAGTAGCTTTAAATGATCTTTGTATTTCTTTGGTATTGGCTGTAATATCTTGTTTCATTTCTTATTTTCCTTATTTGGATTTTTTGTTGTTGCTAATCGTTGGTCTATCAATTCTGTTTATCTTTTCAAAGAACCAGGTTTTTCTTTCAATTATCTTTTGCATTTTTTGGTTTCAATTTCATTTAGTTCTGCTCTTATCTTTGTTATTTTTCTTCTGCTGGGTTTTGGTTTACTTTGTTCTTGTTTCTGTAGTTCCCTAAAGTGTCACATTAGCTTGTCTCTTTGTGCTCTTTCTGACATTTTGATGTAGGCATTTAATGCTATGAATTATTTCATTTTAGCACTGCTTTTGCTGTATCGCAGGGGTTTTGATAAGTTTTGCCACTATTATCATTCATTTCAAAAATTTTTAAATTTTCATCTTGATTACATTGTTCACTCAAAGATAATTCAAGAGCAGATTACTTAATTTCTAGGTATCTGTATAGATTTGAGTGTTCCTTTTGCGGTTGATTTTCAGTTATATTCCACTGTGGTCTGAGAATGTACGTAATATAATTTTGTTTTTTTTAAAATTTAGTGAGACTTGTTTTGTGGCCTATCATATGGTCTATCTTGGATAATGATCCATGTGCTGAGGAGAAGAATGTATATTCTGCAGTTGTTGGGTAGAATGTTCTGTTAAGTCCATTTATTTTAGGGTATAATTTAAATTCATTGTTTCTTTGTTGACCTTCTATCTTGCTAATCTGTTTAGTGCTGTCAGTGGAGTATTGAATTCCCTCACTATTATTATGCTGCTGTTTATCTCATTTCTTAGGTCTAGTGGTAAGTAACAGTTATATAAATTTGTGTGTTCCATTGTTGGGTGCAAGTATATTTAGGATTATAATAGCTTCCTGTTGGACTAATTTTTTATCATTATATAATATACTTCATACTCTTTTTTTTACTGTTGCTTTAAAGTCTATTTTGTCTGATACAAGAATAGCTACTCCTGCTTGCTATAGGTTTCCATTTGCATAGAAAAATTATTTGACCCCTTTACCTCAAGTTTATGTAAGTCCTTGTGTCAGGTGAGTCTCTTGAAGACAGATACTTGGTTGGTGTTTTTTTTTTTTTTTTTTAATCTATTCCACCATTCTCTATCTTTTATGTGGAGCATTTAGACTATTTATATTCAATGTTAGTATTGATATGTAAGGTACTGTTCTTTTCATCTGTTAGTTGTTACCTAAAAACTTTGTTTTTTTCATCATGTTATTGTTTTACAGGTCCTGTGAGATTTATGCTCTAAGGAGATTCTATTTTGGTGTTTATTGAGGTTTTGTTTCAAGGTTTAGAACTCCTTTTGGCATTTCTTATAGTGCTGGTTTGGCAATGGCAAATTCAGTATTTGTTTGTCTGAAAAACCCTTTTTCTCTCTTTCGTTTATGAAGCTTAGTTTTTCTGGATATCATATTCTTGGCTGAAAATCATTTTGTTTAAGAAAGCTAAAGATAGACCCCTAATCCCTTCTGGCTTGTAAGATTTCTGTTGAGAAACCTGCCGGTAATCTGATAGGTTTCTCTTTATAGGTTACCTGATGCTTTTGCCTCACAGCTCTTAAAATTATTTTTTTCATCTTGATTTTATATAACCTGATTACTATGTGCCTTTGTGGAGATCTTTTTGCAAAGAATTTCCCAGGAGTTCTTTGAGTTTCTTATGTTTGAATGTCTAGATCTCTAGGAAGGCCCAAGATGTTTTCCTTAATTATTTCCTCAAATAAGGTGACTCCATACCTGCCTCACAGCATCTGCTCTCTGGTTTTGCCCCCAAATCCTCTGCCTTTCCCCTGGATGCTACAGGAAGTGGAGGTAAGGCTGCGGGGTGAGGCTGCCTGTCAGCGTCTGAATGTCTGAGTGTGGGAGACAGCCACTTCCTGAAGAGCCAGGGCAGCGAACCCAGGGCAGCTGGGACCAGCACTGGATAATATCCAATGGGCCACCATTGGATATTACTTCTACCCACCTGCCTTAGCTACAAATCACCTACTCAGGGATACCGCCCCTATTGGCCTGAAGCCTGAATCACCAGCTCAGTAAATAAAACGCGAGGAAAAATTAAATATATAAAAATTAAATAGATAAAATGAAAACCATGACAGGATGAGATGAGCTTCAGGAGATCTCTGCCATTCCAACCCCATATGAGACATTGAACTCACCCACGTACCAAGAACATAACTACTGGTACCAGCATCTGGAAAAGCCAGTGGAAAAATAATCTATAACCAAGAGACTCATACAGATCTTCACCCCTAAAAGCAACACGAATACAATTAAACTAAATAAACATCAAAGTTTAATCCTTAAGAATAAAAAAGAAATTAAAAGAACCACAGTCCAATCAAAAATAAATTCAAGAACAATTCGAAGAAATAATGTATCCAAATGAGAAAGAATCATAAAAGTAATTCTAGTAGTATGACAAAACAGGGTTCTATAACAACCCCAAATGATCAAACTAGCTCTTCAGCAATGAATTCAAACGAAAAAGAAATCTATGAATTGCCAGATAATGAATTAAAAAATTTGATTACTAAGGTACTCAAGGAGATATCAGAGAAAGGTGAAAACCAACTTAAAGAAACTTAAAACAAACATGATATAAATAAAAAACTTCCCAGAAAAATAGAGATCATAAAGAAAAATCTATCAGAACTTCTGGAAATGAAAAACATGCTTAGGAAAATACAAAGTACAGTGGAATGTTTCAACAATAGAGTAGAACAAATAGAATAAAGAATTTCACAGCCAGAAGACAAGGTTTTGAAGTAACCGAATCAGACAGAAACAAACAAACAAAAACATTTTAAAAAATGAATAAGTCTACAAGAATTATGGGATTATGTAAAATGGCCAAACCTAAGCATGATTGATGTGCTTGGCTTAGAAGAGAAATCTAAGAGTTTAGAAACCTCAAAAGTTCACAGTGTGACTCTCCTCACACTGTTCTGTCCTGCCATCCTGGAAAGAAGAAAAACAAAAACCAAAAAACTGGTGATAATATTGAGTGATTTTACTCCTCTTTCTTTCATTAGAATACCAGCTATTACTTCATATACATATATTCTAATTTGTGAGGGGTAGTATTGTTGGTACAAAATTATGAATGCATTGAAAATGTAATAAACTGAAAAGCTAGAACCAAGTTCTTAATGGCTAATTGCCTAGTCCTCATTATTGCGGTCTCTTTTCCATACAGCCAAAAACAATGACAACACACATTTGAGGATATATTTTCTTACAAGTTCATGGTTTTGAAGGCATTTGTTCCTAACAGTACAGGCACAGAGCAGTAGGTAATTTGTCAATTAAGATGAGCTAACATAGCATTTTACTCACCAGCTAATAGAAGCCAACATTTTTACTTACTCTACGAGAAGTTTAGTCTTTAATTTTTAAACCTTTGTGAAACTTGAATTAATTAAATATATTGATGTGCCTACTTATTTTCATAATGATGACTTTTTTATTAGCTATTGTTTTAATTTTCTTCCTGATAAATTTTAGCAAAGAAAACAACTCGAAACATAGATTTTTTTTTCTAACTCCTGGCATTTTAACAGGCACAATTTGCAAATAAGTTAATTATACACTAATTTTTCTAAAAAAGTTTTTTTTATTTTCCTCAATTTTTTTTCAATGAACAAAGCTTCATTTTTCAAAAACAAATAAGAAAGAGAATACAGAGAATAAAAGGGAAACATTTGAGAGATGATATAAAGTTTAAGTCATACAAAAAAGGTAGAAAAATAAGTAAAGTCTATGCTTACATTAAACAAAAAATAAGTGTTATTTTGTAAATGATTCAATAATAAACATTAAAATTCAGTTAAAAGCAATGACAAACCAAAACAAATTGTAGCTACTGAAGCATTGTTGTTGTCATTTGAACTGTGTGCCTAAATGAAAAATTGCTTATTAAAATACTAATCTAATCAATCTAGAATGGTTGGATGTGCTTAACAAGTGATGATTGAGAAATTATGTTTTCAGTGTACACAGTGAATTGATAATGCGTATTTATTTTATTAAGCAAAATTAGTTGTCAAATGCAAATTTGTAAAGTATCTTACCTCTTCAGTAAGTAAAAAAGAAGCACAAAACATTTTTATATTTTTAACATGAAGTTTTTTTAAATAGGGCTGCATTGCCTGTTGAGTTATGACTAGCATAACAATAGAAAAAATATTTAAATATTTATATTGCATTCAATCTATAATACCTATAGTCATAAGATTATTTGTTTTAAAATGAGAACTCTTTTATAAAGCTACATAGTTGACAAAATATTTTTAAATATATTAATTTTATATCATTTTTTACAAAAATATAAAAATGACTAAGTTTCCTACATATAAATACAGAATAGCTCAATTTAGTGTAGCTTTGCTATTCGTAATACAAAATAAACCATTCATTAAGTATGGATAGATACAGATCAAAGGTTAAATGAAATTAATAAGCATTTTCAATTTAATATCTGGAAAATATAAGTGAAAATCTTTCAATATTTCATGTATGTCATTTAAATTTACTATACAAATGGTAGAATATTGTCACTTGTAATAACTGAAGTTCATATGTAAAGTATACAAAATAGATACTGTTTTTTCTTATAATTTAACCTTTAGCAGCTAAAAATTATATATTTTGCTTAAAATAATTTTCTGAATGTTAAATATTAAATAAAAACATCAAAAGTTAATGCATTACTGTATACTGGTTGGAAATGAAATTTACCTATTCATGTAAGTATTTTATTTTCGAATTTAAAGAATCTTCTATAAAATAAAAACCTAATATTTATCTTCTAAAAATCAATAGAATTGTGCTAAGTACAAAAAAATCTTACCTTTTTATTGCATATAAAATGATTAATAAAATTTAAATAATTCAGATATTTAAAACTTTAAATTTACTCAAGTTCTATAAGGGGATTGAAATTTCAGATGTTATCTTTATAACTGAAATTATGAAAAATTATCTATAAATATTGATTAATAGTGACCTGAGCAACATATACTTATTTTATTTTGTCTTGAACCACTTTCTTACCTTTTTATATTTTCCTATCTTATTTTATTGTACTACTGTATTTTCCCTGATTATGTACAATATTTTTCTATTAATTGTCTCTTCTTACTTATTGTCCTAATAGTCTTATTTTTAATCTGTTTGCACAGACTCCTCTGTTAATTGAGTCAACTTTTGAATATAGTCTTCATTGTTGTTAACTGATTATTTTATTTTCAAATCATCAACATTTTGTGTAGTGGTGCTATCTTCTCAACTGTCTCTCAATGCAAATAAGAAAAAGTTGATTGTTTAAAAAGCTTTGCTGTTCCTTGAATATTTTATTCGGAATCATTTATTTTATTTCTAATCTTGTTATTTTTCTCTGTCTTTCAGGTAGTTTCCAAATAGCTGATGATTCTTGGGGTTTAAAGGTACTAGCACATGACTCCCCTCTTCTTTCTCTGGAATGTATAAATGTCCTATGAGTATTTTAACATAATGGTTATTCTCTAAGCATTGGTTGCACAGATCTTCACACAGTCATTACGTTATGCTTTATAATTATGCCATTCACATTACATAGACTAATAGGTTTTTGTTGCTGTATCAGTTATGCTGAGAATAGGTTCAAAGCTCCCACTATAATTATAAATTAAAAAATAATCTCATATTTTTTCAAATTTCGCTTGATGTATTTTGAGACTATTTCATGATGTATATACAAATGTATAATTGTTATGTATTATTGGTAAATCATTCTTTCAGTCATAATTCACAAATTCTTTTTTAAACACAAAAATGATTTTTACTTTGCATGGTAAAATATAGGCACCCCAGACTTCTAATGTTAGTATTAATATCCCATTGATGTTCTTTCATCTCACTTTTATACTTAGTATTTTAGCATTTTTTGTATGCATTAATTAGTTATTTGTATTGCCAATCTAAAAAGAATGACTGTCACAAATGATTGCTTGTCAGCTAAATCTATTAATTAAGATATGTATTATTTTTTACAGTATGATGTTGGACATCAGTTTTCCTTGTAGTTGTGCTCACTTTTGATTTATATATATTTGAGCACATGTTATCAGATGTAGAGAACTTAGAAGAATTATCCCTTTTCAGTAAACAAAGCATGTTACATTATGATATAATCCCCTATGTCTCAGGCAGCGTTTTTCTTCTGTTGTCCATATTGGTGTTATAAAGATAGTGATGCTACCTCTCATTTTGTTAATATTTGCTGGTAAAAATTTTTAACACCTATTATCCATCTATCTGTGTCCCTCTATTATAAATATGCCTATTATAAATGCTGCATTTTGTAATTTTATTTTATTATCTGGCATGGAAACTTCATTTATAAAATGAGACAGTTTAGTCCATTTATATGTATCATGATTTCTGAAACAAAACTACCATTTTACTGAGTACAGTTTACTTACTTTGTGTTTATTCATTTAACCTCATGCTTTTCTTCTTTGGGTTGACTGAATTATTTTTCTAATTTTTTTTTCTTCCAATAAATTAGAATATATATACATATAGAGAGAATATATATAAAATATATATGTGATTATATGTATTCATATATATAATCTTTAACTTAGCATTTACACTAGGTCTTTTAGAACCATAATTAAGCTTTGGGTAAATCTGTATCTTTAGCCTGTTTTACCAAAAATAATAATCCAAAAGCCATTGTCCTAGAAATTTGCTGGTAATCCATCTATAAAAACTCATATTTTTATGTTACGGCAATAAATAAATACATAAACAAATTAATGGCCTGATAAGTAGCATTCCAAATTATGTGGTGTAAATATTTCCACTGCTGCAGATTTTAAGCCACCAATGTTACTTCTCTGAATGCTGAGTAGAGATGTGAAAAATCGGCTCTCATGAGCAGATATGTTCTAGCTCCTGCCCATCACTACTTAGAATGCTTAAATTCTCTTTGGTCTTATATGTTAGTTTTCTTCCGATGTTTTAGTTCTATTTAATTATCTCCTAAAGGTACATTTTTATTATACTTTTAACACATGAAAGTTAAATTCTCTTTAATGTATATTTTAATATGATTTTACAATTACAGAAGCATTGGATTGTATAAAATTAGAACATACAAAAATATATAAAGAAATACATCTATAAAAACATGTAGCCTATCTAGAGATAACTTCTGTTAATGCATTGCTGCTTAGTTTTGTATAGCTCCACACACATACACACATACACACACACACACACACAAACACACAATTCCTTCAGGAAGTTTTTTAGTTGGTGTTTATTAGTAACTTTTCAATTTTTTTCTACTAATTTTTTAATAATATTTTGTCTTTATTGTGGACGTAACTTTTTAAATATCTTTGTGTATTTACACCTACATATTTCATAGATTCTATCAGTCTGCTTTATCATCTAAAACTCTATAACCTGCAAATCTTACTCAAAAGTAAATGTTTTCCTACTGTATTTTTTATATTTATTTGTACTCCAACTCACAGCAGCGTTTTCATTGGGAATTCTGTGTAGCTTGGTTTGAGTGTGTTTTTCTCTGTAATAATTTTTCTTTCTTTCTTCTACACACTCAGAATTTTCACTCCCCGAAATATAATTTTTTAATTTTAGTTTACCTTTCTCTTAGTTCCTATGCCACAGGAGTATTATGAATTCAAACACCAAACCTATATTAGAAACATTACACATTGTCAGAGGATTCATTTTGCCATCCAAATCTCAGACACACATATAAAACGTTCCTCTTCTTCTACCTTGTATAATTGAACAGAATACTTTCTCCAGACTTCACCTGAGACAATATTTCAAGACATTTAGCAATTGCAAAAGTCTCATTTCCAGCTTTCAAACTATTACATTATTTCCTATCCCTGTTTGTATTTTAAAACAAAAGATAGATGAAATATGAAATAATTAACACATCATAAGCATATTAGAAGTGGTTAATATTCATACACTCTCCCAATACACACAGCAGCCACTTCATTAGCTCATATAGTTAAAGCTATGATTTTTACAGTTTCTTCTTTATTTCCATTGAAGAAAAATGGGGCCATACCTAGGGTAATGGAGCGGGGGGAGGGAGGGCGTAACAGGAAATAATAACTTCTCCAGCTTGTCAACCTATTCTCTATTGCAAGAACATCAAAATTTTATAATTATTTTTGAGATTCCATAGAATATTTTTCATAAACAAGTATTCTCAGCTACTGTATGCTATGGTTTGTTTCCTTCCTATTTTTCTCTGATTATTTTAATTAATATGTTCTCTTTGGGCATTTTTTGATCCATGAAGGCCAGGAGCCACTTGCCACCACAAGCTAATATTTGCAATAACAATAGTCATACATAGGCCTGACTTCTCACTACCAACAAAAGAATGGAATCATCACTTATGTTGCAAGCCAGCTTGCTTTCGATTATTTAAGCCAAAATTTAATGATATTACGTGTGTGTGTGTGTGTGTGTATACATGCATATACACATACATACAAACATATATACATATGGGGTATGTGTATATATCTACACACACGTGCATATGTACATACATATATCCATCCATGCATACATATACACAGACACACGTTTGCATGCGTGTGGGTTTCATTTGTGGCAAAATACAAATTGTTCATTCCTGTCTAAATTTCACTTTACAAGTACTCAAACAATGATAATTTTCTTGTGTTCCAGAGCTTCCCAATTATTTTAGTCACATGGACATGCTTAGTATTATATTTGTAGCTCCACTACTTCCTTTAAACACGAATTCTAAGTCTGTAAAGAATCTTTGCTTGCTTCAATTGCTAGGCTTTATTGAATTTATTCCTGTGTTTGTTCACTTTCTTGTTTTTAGGGACGAGGTCTCACTATGTTGCCCAGGCTGGTCTCAAACTCCCAGTTTCAAGGGATCCTCCCACCTAAGCCTCTCAAAGTTCTGGGATTACTGGCATGAGCCACTGCGCCTGGCATATTGAAGTTATTCTCACCCCTATAAAAACTCAGATATTTTAATCTTAAGTTTGATGTTTTCTATAAAATAGGAAGTGTACCTAAATTTCCAGCTATACTTAGCCTGAGCAGTCCCCAGACAAGGCCAGATACCCTGGAGTCTCAATACTGAGCATATCTTAACATAGATTTGGGATTTATAAAATTCTGCTTCAAAATATATAAATTAATTATTTATATATTATTGATGAGTAATGGTTATTTGACATTTTAAAAAAATCAGCAAGTATTTATTTATTTATTTTTTACTTTTTCCACCTGGTCATGCTATAACATTTTTTAGAACTGAGTCACTTAGTAGAAGAAAAATAAATTTTTCCAAAAACTTGATTTCAAAAAACAATGAATCCTGACAGTGTAGAAAGAATCTTTGTTTTTCTATTGATATTTCTCTGTTACAAAATTGACATACCATTAAATTATATATTAGTTATAAGCTCTTTTGGTATTAACTTAATGAAAGAGATATAAAAACTTATAGAATATACTCAATTTAATCTTACATAATATTTAATCGACTGTCAAATTACCTTTAACTTTTTAAAATGCTGTTTATAAAAAATAGTATTATGATGCAAATGTTAATATATATTTTACAGTGTTTAGATAGTATTAAGAAAAAATATAAATAAATTTAATGCAAAAATATCAAGATCTAACTGGAAATATATTGGATATGAATTGGATATTTTCAAATAACTTCTTGGTATAAAAATATAAGTATTTTGAATATATATTAATATAGTTCAAATAGAAATGGTTAATTATATATTAAGAATACAGCCAATGGTTCCTACTCTGTGGCATAACTAATTATACAGGACATAACAATATTCAAACTGCAAAAACATCTGAATGAGAAGGCCTATAATTTAATAGTAAAATAAAATAAGTCAGGAAAATTAATATTGTGATATTAAAAATATGAAATTTATTTGTTTAATATAATTAACATTTAATATAACCAAGTTCATGATTCAGCATTTTTAATATCGCCATTATTACATTACTTAAGGGAAATCAAAAATGAAAAGCCCTAAACTGCTAGATATTAAAGCAAAATGTAAATGCAGAGGTAGAGACAAATTAATAATATTTGTGATTAAGAACATGCGCATATGATGTTAAAAGAAAGAAATGGAATTTAATAATTTTAATTCATAAAATTTTAATTCATAAAGTCTTCATAGGATATTATATTGGATTATTTTCTTATTCTTCTACATAAAAATGGTAATTATTTTCTTTAAATAAAGTTAAATTCTAGAATGTGGGCCAGAGTTAACATTAAGATAATATGTTAAATTTTGTTAAATATGATGCCGCCCTCTAAAATGCCATGATAAATTGGCTGTTCTCCAGTGTTTTCAATGTGCTGCTTTACGTATCTTCTGCATCTTGGAACATGAGGGTGTTGGCCTCTCCTGAGGAGTGGTGGAGTCCTAAGAGAATCTGTGATCCAGACCCCAGGCTGCTTATGCCTGGATAGTTATGTGAAAAAAATAAGCACTCTTACTTAAGCCAATGATATGTTTTGTGTCTGGTAGTAGGATCTATATATTCATCAATACAATATCTTTCAACTTTATTAGATATCGCCATTCAGTTTTCCAAAATGGTTGTGTAAACTACATTTGCAAAAGAAGTTATAAGGTTCTTATCATTGCACCTATCCCTAGATTTCAATTTTATTGTCAGATTTGAAATTTTTTCAAAATAATCGGTGAGAAATGCTATTCCTTTTTAAATGTAATTTGTATTTTGTGATTACTAGTGGTGTTGAGATACTTTCTAAGTGGCCAATTTCACAAAATTCTCATGAATATTTTTTCCACTTTTCAGTGAGGTGAGATTGTTTGCCATATATATATGTATATATACACACACACAAAATACATACATATTGAAAATATATATTCAAAATATAATATATATTCCATACATATTCAGTATATATATTAAATTGCATTCAAAATATATATTAAATAAGTACATTGAATATATATTAATTAAATATATCAAATAATATATATCGAATACTATATATTAAACATATGTATTATATACTATACATAGTAAATAGGTATAATATATATTCACTAATATACTAATATATTTTATTATGCAATATATTAAATAATACACATTATATATTTATAAATTCAATATTATATTTATAAAGGCAATTGTAAATTCTATATTATATATTCAATATAATAATACATATCCAGTAAATATGTAATAATAAATATTGAATAGATATAGGAGCTTCTTATACATCACATTCTAGGATTTTCATAAAAATGCTGAATAATGTGAGTGATTAAGGACATTCTTAATTTGTAGTATTTTATGGGCAATATCATGCTGGGGAATTACCTGTAGATATAGCATAGTCTATTACATTGAAGAATATTTTATTTATTATATTAGATAAGTACAAATGCATTCCACAAACTTTTCTCATGACTGAAGAAAAAAAAATTATGTGGCCCATTGCTGTGTTGAAATAAATTAACTGATTTTACAATATCCAACAAGGTTTACCTTTTTAAAATAAAGAATATTTAATGTTGGTATATTTTAATTTAAAAATACTGCATATTAAATATGCTAGAAGATTACCTTGAATCTGTTTTCATTTATTAATAAAGAAAAATATTTACTCTATGCTTTCCTAATTTATATACGTGTTTTCTGACATTATTGTTATGCTGGTGTCATAAAATTAATTCATAATTATCAATTATGAATTTCTCAGGTCAAAATCTGCTTTATAACATAGGACTAAACCGTTCTTAAGAGAAAGACTTTTTGTGATAAATAATTTACTTTCTGTTGTGGACTGAATGTTTCTGTTCCCCCAGAATTCTCATGTCGAAAGCCTAACTCCCAAGGTGCTGGGAGAGTATATTAGGAAGTGGGGTCTTTGGAAGGTAAGTAGGTTTAGATAAAGTCATGAGGCTGGAAACTCCATGATGATTGTCCTCGTAAAAAGTAAAAGAGACTAGTGCTGTCTCTCTCTATCTATGACAAGCAGGCTTCATTCTGCAAACAAGGAAAAGAGCCCTCATAAAAAATTGAATAAACTGGGGCATTGATGGTGGACTTCCCAGCCTTTAAAAACATGAGAAGTAGGTGTGTTTTAAGCAAATCAGCCCATGATATTTTTGTCATAGTAGCCCAAACTGACTAAGACACCTGGAAGTTGTTTCAGTAGCACTTGTTGACATTCTTTTTTAAGTTTCTTTTAAAGCAGTCTTTTTGTGGTTATATTTCTGTTTAGGTTTCTTACTTCTTATGTCAAAAGTTTTCAGAAAATACCTACTTCACTAAAATGTATTAGAATGCATTTCTATATTATAATGTTATTTTTATCTCCCTATTTATAAAATTAAATTTCCGTTTTGTTAGCATCTATTTTGACTCTTTTATGGTTGATTTTTGTTAACTTCTTCACTACACTTATAAACTAGACCTTATTTCTGTTTATGACTCATTAATTCCTTCTCTTAGCTTAATTAATTCCCACATTCTAATTTTCACAGGTTAGTTTTAGTTCCTTCTTGTAATGTTTGGTGCAATTTAAATTAATAATATCTTGTTTAATAATGAAGACATAGATTTGCTTTTGTTAACTGGTTTGGGTTCATCAAGGTTTCACAGGTGATGTTTCATTTTTGTCTTTCTGTATCATATATCATAGAAATCTAGTTTATTTCATCTTCTAGGTTATTTAATGATTTTCCTTATTCTGCAATAGTTTATGTTCTAAAAGTTAATTTGTATGTAATTTTTATGTAGTACAAAAGTAAGAATAGCCTCTTGCACATGGTGCAAGCTGTAGGTGGATCTACCATTCCACCTGCAGGGAGAAAATGGTGGCCCTCTTCTCACAGTTCTACTAGGCGGTGCCCCAGTAGAGACTCTATGTGGGGGCTGCAACCCCATATTTCCCTTCTGCACTGCCAAACTTCTGCCTGGGCATCCAGGTATTTCTATACATCTGAAATCTAGGTGGAGATTCCAAAATGCCAGTTCTTTACTTCTGTGCACCCGCAGGCTCAACACCACATGGAAGCTTCCAAGGCATGGGGCTTGCACTTTCTGAAGCCACAGCCTGAGCTCTACATTGTCCCCTTTCAGCCAAGCTGGAGCATCTGTGATGCAGGGCACCAAGTCCCTAGACTGCGCACAGCATAAGGACCCCGGGCTGTGTCCACAAGGCCATTTTTTCCCTCTTAGACCTCCAGGTCTGTGATGAGAGAGGCTGCTGCAAAAGTTTCTGACATGACCTGGAGACATTTTCCCCATTGTCTTGGTGATTCACATTTGGCTCCTTGTTAGTTATGCAAATATCTCCAGGCAGCTTGAATTTCTCATCAGAAAATGGGATTTTTTTTCTATCACATTGTCAGGCTACAATATTTTTGAACTTTTATGCTCTGCTTTCCTTTTAAAACTGAATGCCTTTAACTGCACCCACGTTACCTCTTGAATGCTTTGTATTGCTTAGAAATTTATTCCACCAGATACCCTAAATCATCTCTCTCAGGTTGAAAGTTGCACAGATCTCTAGGGAAGTGGCAAAGTGTCACCGGTCTCTTTGCTAAAACATAACAAGAGTCACCTTTGCTCCAGTTTCTAACATGTTCCTCATCTCCGTCTGAGACCACCTCAGCCTGGATTTCATTGTCCATATCATTATCAGTATTTTTTGTCAAAGTCATTCAACAAATCTCTAGGAAGTTCCAAACTTTCCCACATTTTCCTGTCTTTTTCTGAGCCCTCCAAACTGTTCCAACCTCTGCCAGTTACCCAGCTCCAAAGTTGCTTCCACATTTTGGGGTATCTTTCTAGCAATGCTCCCACTCTACTGGTACCAATTTACTATATTAGTTGGTTTTCATGCTGCTGATAAAGACATACCAGAGCCTGGGAAGAAAAAGAGGTTTAATTGGACTTACAGTTCCACATGGCTGGAGAGGCCTCAGAATCATGGCAGGAGGTGAAAGGCACTTCTTACATGGTGGCAGCAAGAGAAAATGAGGAAGGTAAAAAAGCAGAAACCCCTCATAAAACCCTCAGATCTTACGAGACTTATTCACTACCATGAGAACAGTATGGGGGAAACTGCACCCATGATGCAAATTATCTCCCACCAGGTCTCTCCCACACATGGGGGAATTATGGAAGTACAATTCAAGATGAGATTTGGGTGAGATCATACAGCCAAACCATATCACCAGGGGACTTGATACTGGTAAAGGCACTTCCTTCCCTTTCTCCCTCTGTAGGCTCGATTGGGAGAGACTTTAGATTGTATTTCTTTCTACTCCTACCACAGTAAAGATCACCGAAATACATTTTTTGATTCATTGTACTTGGGTAAAGCCCTGGGAAACTGAAAGAATTACCTCTGTTGACTCAGAAGATCACCTAAAGTACCCATGAGAAGAAATCAGATACCTCAAGCTAAAAATTACAAAAACTAAGTGCCAAAAATTAACATTCCATGGATATCCTCTTTATAGTCTCAACTATGCTTGCTGTTCTCACCTTCGTTCTGTTCCTCACTATAAGGCATCTTTGTCAAGGACCCCTTAGTCATGAACTCCCAAGGGATTATCTACTCCCCTATGCAGTCATTTCTCTTTTAAAATTCAATTGCCCCATACAAGATTTAATTTATTTCACCAGGGTGAAACAGCTCTAGCCACAACATGGTTTTTAGAATGTTTAGTCTATTTTACTTTTTATTTCTGTTATCTTTGGCACTAGATTTTTCATGTTAGCTCCTCTATGTGTAATACTCATATTTGGTCCATGCATACTTAAACTTCTTGTAAAATTTGTTTGTTCTCACCTAGACGCTGTCAGACTCCAAATGATCATGCAAGTGGAGCCTCAGACAATGGTTCTTTTTACCAGGGACTCTTAGGTAGGCTTCTGAGAGAGAGCTCTGACTGCTATTTTTTCAAAGCAACACACTCTGTCAGCATGAAGGGGTTAAGAGTGGTCATCATCCCTATCCTAAGGGCAGTTAGATGTACCTCTTCCTAGGGGAAACTGATGGCTGTAGGAGGCAAACAGGTCCCTAGGTACAAAGGGCTGGGTCCCTGGTGAGGCTTGACTTTCAAGCCGGTGATGTCCTGAAGCCTGGGGGCAGGGCTGCCAGTTCTGGGTGGAGTTCACAACCCAGAGTGGGAACTTCTTTGATGCCTTTTGGCCAGTCAGATGGTGCTTTTCCCAGACCCACTCCTGGACCAATCAGCATGAACTGCCTTTATTCTGAGCCCATAAAAACCCTGGACTTAGCCATATATCAGCTCTACCCGGCTGTGGGTAGGAGATACCCGCTTTGGGTCTACTCTCTACAGAGAGCTGTTTTGTCACTTAATAAAGCTCTTCTCTGCCTTGCTCACCCTCCATTTGTCCATGCAACCTTATTCTTAACGGACATGGGACGGACTTGGGACCCACCAAATGGTGGATGTGAAAAGGGGTGTAACACGTTCCTTGCTAGCTTGCTGAGCTGCGTGTGGGAACAAAAAGGGCTGTAACACATTCCTGATTGGTTCACTGAGCTGCAGGTGGTGACACACTCTCATTTGTCAGGCTGTGGGAGTGAAGTCAAGCAACCCTTCTGGGGTCCCAGACCTCGGAATTCCCCAAGCCAGAGCTGTAACACTATAGCCCTCCTGCCGTCCGCTGGCATTGGGCAGTCACCCCACATGACATGAAGTAGCAGCAGGGCTGGGCTAGCCCAGGAGCCGTGGGCCTGAGGAGGGCAGTGGGACTGAACAAGGTGTAACACAAATAAACTGAAACATGCCCACGCCTCAATTCACTGTGCTGTGGGCAGTGGGAATGAGAGAGTTGTAACACGTCCTCCCTCACCCCTTGGGGCTCCACAGTTGCTGGCCTCTGAGTTTTCTGGCACAACCACATTTTCCTTGTCCAGATGTCGGTGCCCATAGCGGAAGCTGCTGTGCTACTTCTGGCCCAGCCATAGCTGTGCATGGAGCTGGTACCCGTGCCTGTGCCTTGAGCTGCCTGCCCCCGCCATAGCAGTTGGCACCCCTGGCTGTGCATAGTGGCTGGCCCTCATGCTTGTTGACTCACACACTTCTTGCCACTCTGCACCTGGCTCACCCTAGGTGGGTGTGGGATTTGGGCTGGTATTGTGAACTGAGCACAGCCTGCTGAGCCAAGTGGGTGGAACTAGCTCAGTGAGTCTGAGTGAAACTGAAGCAGAGGCAGCACCAGACACAGAGGTTTCCGGCTGGCAAAGCAACACCCGAAGGATCCTGTGACCGTGGAATCACTGGTTTATGCATATGTCCAGACTCATTAAAATGTACACATTAAATATTTGCAGTTTCTTAGATATCAATCATGCCTGGATAAAGCTTTAAAAACAAACAACGAGTAATCTTTCTATATACTGACATTAAATGATTAAGCTAGGACATATTAATAGAAAAAAACATGAACAAAAGTGAATATGATATGCAACTGTCTATCTAAAAGAAAGGAAATAAATAAATATATGTGTGTATATGTGTGAGTATGCTTATTTTTAATTGAGAAATAAGAAAAAATTTAATTAAAAATATGGTTCTCTACAGGGAGAGGAAATAACTAGGCCTGAACGAATGGAGATAGAAAGTAATCTACTCTAAATATACCTTGTTTCATAGATTTGACTTCAATATCTCATAAATGTTTTACATATTTACATAAAAATTAAATGAAAAGGCAGTTTCTAGATATTGAAGGTTAAAAAATAAAAGAAAACTTTATATAAATAATTTAGCAAAATGTTTCAATTTGATTATATGTTGTATTGATATTTATAAATTATGAATGACTTAATTTCAATATCTCATAAACTTTAAACTAGTTGATGTGAATGTTTCTTTTAAGGTTAAATTTGGAAACTAGTGTAGATAATGAAAGGAAAAACAAAAGCAGGTTTATAACTGAAAGCACATTTATTACAATGATTAGCAAAAATTTAAGTTATTTACCCTTTTGATATAAACTGTTAACTTAGTATTGTTAGATAAAACACTGCTACATTTGAATTTCAGATAAATAAGAATCATTTTTGTAGTGTATCTATACACCAAATATTATATAGTCCATGCTTATACTTTACGTTGCTAAATCCAGTACCCCTATATGAACCTCTTCTTTAACATGGAGGAAAGAGCATTTTTATATTTTCTAAAAAATTGTATTTCATTTCATATAAAAGTAAAATAAGAAAACCTTTTCTTTCCTTTTTTTACTTTTCTATTTTTGTGTTTGGCAAACTAGAACAAAATAGTATTTTATAAGTTCTAATATATGTTTTATGAATGAATATACACTTAATAACATGGTATATGTTTCCAATACTTACTGCTATTTTGAAAGATAAATAATAATATTCTATATTTTGTTGAATGTATAAACTATAGAGTATAAAAACACATTTCTATTGTACTGCTACATCAACATGAAACAATTAGATGACCAGGCTATACTCTATAAATATTTTCTCATGATTAATTTGACCCATGGTAAGTTATTAATATGACTCATCTCAGAGATAAAGCATATTCTATAAAGAATGTGATGATGATTATTACCTGTCTGTATAAGTATTCCTTCCAAATAAAGTATTTGTTTAACCTGCCAAGACTGAACTAGGGAATTACCTGCATATAATATTTCCACATGCTGAATGTTGTTCTGCTGACTGCTAAAGAGACTGTGGGCTCCTCTTTGGCCAATAATGGTTTCTTCTACTATGCTTATAGAAATATATAACACTTTCCTAGAAGTTCCTATAAAGAGCTATAAGATATCTATTTTTGCATACCAGAAAAGACTTATGGGCTGGCTCCCTTCTCATTTAAAACCTCAAAAGATCTACACAAGCATCCAAACAAACACATGTAGTGTGAATACACACAAATCTCTTTGCTACCAGCTTTGTGCATGCTTAATGGAAAATCCTTAACCAGCTTGAATTATCTGCCAAACTCTTTTTCTTATTAAAAACTCAGCTAACTTGTCAATTTTTTTCTCGAAACCTAAAATGTCAAGGCTGAGTTTGGGATGTGTTCTCTGGTTTTATGTTTCTAAGCATACATTTCTCATAGGACATACTTAACTATATTCAATTAATTCATTATTTTGCTGGCTTTCCTCTAGATAGCAATAACATCACCACTGTTTAAAATAGTACCTGTCATAGTAGGTTTTCAAAAAACGTTGATGATGGATGGCACACAATTTCATGCTTACGATAGGAAGATACATCCCTAAGAAAATTTAATATTATCAGTTAATTTTACTGGCTTAAGTGCCACTTAGAAATTTGTAAACTTATGCTCTGTGAAACCATGTAATGATTTAGAGAAAATAAACAATAACATTTGGAACTTACCATAGACTCATTCTCTGAAACACCTTTTATTTTTATTTTATTTTATTTTATTATTATTTTGTCAGAGTCTTGCTCTGTCACCCAGGCTGGAGTGCAGTTGCACAATCTCAGCTCACTGCAACTTCCACCTCCCAGGTTCAAACGATTTTTCTGCATCAGCTTCCTGAATAGCTGGGATTACACCACACCTAGCTAATTTTTGTATATTTAGTAAAGATGGGGTTTCATTATGTTGGCCAGACTGGTCTTGGACTCCCGACCTCGGGTGATCCATTGTCCTTGGCCTCCCAAAGTGCTGGGATTACAAGCATGAACCATTGTACCCATCCTGAAGCACATTTCTTAATTTTAAATAATCCATTTAATGCCAGTCATCCCATATGGTAGAATATTTCTCACTCTAAAATATCAAAATTTCAATAGCTGTTGTTCCTTTAAATTTTTAATCTAATAATTTCATGAAAATGTAAATAGTTATAACTACAGTTTGGTTCTATAAGAGAAAAAAGCAATGAATACAGTAACCTAAAATATCCAGGCAGGTACAGTAACCCAAAATATACCAAAGGTTTATGCTATCTAAGTGTTTATTAACAAAGTACTCATAGTTATGATATTACAGAGGGAAATTAAAATCACCATAAGACAAAAATACTCATAACTGAAAATGTATAAATGTATTTCCACTCAAACATGCCCCTTCTTCTAACTCTAGAATTAGTAATTGGTTTATTGAGCACTCTCAAATCGGTGGGAAAATAATTTAAATATGATATTGTTTTCTAACAATTATTGCTTTTAGCTGTGGTCTATCAAATTACCCTTTTCAATCACTGCAAAGCAAGCTAGACAATTCATATAACTTCTTATTGATTTTATTTATGAAAAGTCTAGTCCCATACAATTCAGGTGAAATCTAATGATATATTCTTACGTCTTTCTCTGGCACAAGCCCTTCTTGGTGCTTCTCTGTGACTGGAAATAGGAATGAGGAGGGGGAGACAGGAATCTTCTTAAATTCTCTTGCTAACTGTGGTGGTGAAGGGTGTGCATTCTTGATTTCACTGTATTTTTCTTGGATCCACTTGCAGCGAATGTTCTCTTCCAAAATGACTAGCCAGTTTAAAGGGTTGGCACAGTTTTTTAGGATATTTGTGTTAAGGTTTTTATTATTATTTTTTACCTGCAACCCCTGATGTGGACATTCTCAGAAAAAGCCAGCCAAAGGAAGTCTTTCATTAATCCCAGGCATGTCACATAACCTCAGACCTTTTTCTGGAAGGAACAGTTTCTAATGGGTACACTAAAATCTCAGAATTCACCACTATATAATTCATCCATGTAATCAAAAACCACTTGTACCCCAAAAGCTATTGAAATTTAAAAAATAAAATATATGGGCATTTATACTTATTCTGTCTTATTACCTAGCCATGTGATTTTATATATTTCCTGGTATGAAATCACAGGGAAATATTGAAGTCATCTTCTGAACTTTCTAAGGGCTTTAGAACATAGAGTTGCCAAGTCTTCTTCCCAGACACACTGTTTTTCCTCTGCTGTAAGCTGCCACAAAAGCCTTTTCATGTCCAAAAATTCAATTCAAGAAGAAAGTACCTTTCTCTGTGCTTAGGTTCCAAACTCCTATACAACTTGTCAATTTCTCCAACAACTCTCTCACGAGGCTTAGCCTCATTTTGATGGTAGCACAAATTCAGACCCCTAGAATCTACCACCTAATAACCATCTAGGAGGATAATTAAATGTCAGTTTTTCCTTCAAATAGGCATTCCTAGTGTCCATATATGTGGATCCTTTGAACCACTTCATCCCAGCTTTGAAGAGGGAAAGTTACTTGCTGTCATCTCAAACATTGCACATTCAGACTTGACGCTTCACCATTCTCATGGGCTCTAGTATTTTCTTAAAGCCCAAGTAGGAGAGATGAGAACGGAACTGGTGGCTGAAAGTAAGGCAACAGGCATTTCTGCTGAGGGATAGGCTTGAAGAATGTGTCTGACCTTGTGTTTTCTACTACTGGTAAAAGTGGAGTAACTAGCATGTCTTTGTTTCTTGTGGATGTAGCCTGCTTTGCAGATCAATAGAATCCCCACTCAAAAATCAGACCCACGTCTATCTCCATCCATTCTGTCAAATTTTTAGTTTATTTAAAGATGTGGTAAATATATAATATACTATATATATCAGTATCAAAGTCAAGAAATGTCATGAAGTTTTGGAAGTGGTACTGAAAAATTGATCAAAATTACATGCAAGGCTGGTGATATATTTGAAAAGGAAAAATCTATAAAAATGAGGTACATCTCATAAAATATATATAGTACACAAAAACCCATAATAGTTCAACCATTAATGTTTTCTATATTCTAAAAGTTAGTATATAAGTGACATAATTTACCCTCATTTTAAGCTCATTTGCCAAGATAATACAAGCTAATCATTTTTTAAAATACACTAACCCTGCAATGACTATTTGAGGTTTCGCTTGCCAAATGTCAGTTATATAGGTCTTCAAGATTATTGATGTTATCCATTTCAATAAGGTGAATAACATCAATATCAAAACATCAATATCAAAGTGTGGGTTAGACAACTAAGAATGATTAGAAAAAACACTGAAGAAAATTTAGACAAATACTGTACTAAGTTGCTTCTTAATTGTCTTTAAATTATTATTTCACTCCTTAAAAATGAGAATGACAATTGTATATGATAAATTAGGGTATGCTTTATGCAAGACATAAAGCTTACAGGTTAATTTTTACTCTAGCAGAAAGATTTGGTCCTACATAAAAGAATAGCAAATGAACATGATTGCATGCTTTTAAAAAATACAATGTCTAAAATATATACCAAGTTTTAATGTTTTGCTACCTTAAGTAATTTTCTCAAATGGCTTAAATTCCTATTAAGTTTTAATAGTTCTGTCCTTTAACTACTTGAATCAGCTAATCACTATTCTCCTATATATAGTACAAGAGAGCTTCAAGCGTACTGTCACATACAGTATTTCAGCCAATTTTAATTGGGTCAATTTCAAATGAGTTTTACATGTGTGATTTTTTTTCAACAAATAGCCATACTCTGTACACCAGTTTTGATCCTTTGACTGGAAGAAGTAATTTATTATCTGAAAGGAAAATAGTTTAACTTTTGAAATAAAGAAAGATAAATGTAGACAAAGGTGTTTGGGATCAGTGTCCACTAAGTCTCTACTCTTCCATTTCCTAAACCAGCTTACTAGGGTTCCTGTGCACTTATTTAGAAAAAATATTCCTCATTACACAAGGGCATTGGTAGATGACCATCTAAGCAATCATAAAATGACAATAAAATTGCACTTCTTTTTTTTTTTCTCTCTCTCTGGAGTACTTGCCCTGTTATATGGCTATTCTGGAAGCCTGGTCCTTTAAATACTTGATAAAAATAATGGAATGAAAGCTTTTAGAACATGACTCCAAGGATAATAGTTTCCTTGTAGGCATGTTTCTGACAGTGTCTCTCCAACCACAGTATATAATGTATTTTTTTTTTTATGTAGAAGATAGCTATAGTCAAATTCATCTTGAACGTCAAAGAGCTACATATCTCTTACACTCTATTATGAATGGTTTGCTATTTGCAATATTATTATAAAACAATAACATAAAAGTATTCAACTGTACTATAGAAAGGAGAGAAATGTATTGTTAGGTAAAACTCAAAGCTTAAAATGATATGATAAGAAAATGTTTCTTTGAATGATCCCCTAATATATTGTTCAGTTTCCTCAAAAGTCACGGCTACTGGGTTAATCTCTAAGCATTTTCTAATAATCTTTTTAAATTATCATATTCACTTAGAAATGAATGAAACTGAACTATATTATTGAATCAAACTACTTAGTGGATTTAAATGTCCACAAGGAACTTCTGACAAGACAAGAATTGTTAGTACAGTATATCATCTAATGCAAGCTTCTCTGCCTTGGTACTAATGACATCTTGGGCCAGATAATGGATTTGTTGGAAGTGAAGGTGCTGTCCTGTACGTCACAGAAGCTTTAGCAACATCTTTGACCTCTACATATTAGATGCACTAACAGCTCCCTTCCCCTCCCCTGAAAAAATGCCTTCCTTTATAACAAATGTCCCCTGGAGGAAAAAAATAATCACCCCCAGCTAAAATCCAATGATGTTCTTAGACCCTTGAGAATAAGAGTTCTGAGTCAATAAAATTGCTTTTACAAAGAGGCAGGGTCTGAATAAAGAATAGAAAATAATTGTCAGAAATGCTGGGTTTTGATAATGATATAAAATTCAGATTAATAATGATGCTTCAGTTTTTAGGCATACGTTTTTAAACCTTATGAATAATTTAATTAATCATTGCATATGTTAGAAAAGAGAAATCATGGCTTTACTGCACCTCTCTTACATCTTATATTCAAAAGACATGTTATCTCTCATGCTGGAATATAGCTACAAAAATATGGGCCCTAATAGATAGCAAAGACTCATGGACTTAATATTATTTCTTCCCTCTTTCTGCTGTGAGTGATAATGCTAGCGCACAATTGTCTTTATCAGCTACTTGTCATTTTTTTTCTGCCATTGAAACATCTTTATAATTTAAATCATAAGAAAGAACTGTACTTCTGCCTGACTTACTTTTTCTGGCCATGCTGAACAAACTTTAGATTTTACTTGACTGGCAAATCATTCACTTCTATACTTGTAAAAAGAGTTTAACGTACAGTTTTTCTTATTTGTTCACTGAGAAAAATTGTGTCATTGGAACAATCTTTCACCAGTATGTTTGTAGTAGTATCTAATTTTATATTAAATAAAATGTATATTTTAAATATCTATAATCCCACAAAATAAAATCCTAAAGAGGAAATAGATGATTATCTAAATTTATAAAGATGCAAAATATTCAGATGAAGACATGTCTCATTACACAATTTATCAGAGGGACTAGGTCTTAATCCTAGTTGCATATGAGAAACACCCTGGAGATTTTACAACTGCTTATGTCTGGATCTTTCTGCAAACCTATTAAATCAATCATTCTGAGGAATTGTCTGGAGCATCTATATCTTTTCAAGGCTTACTCCTAATTGTCATGGCAATCATTGTTGAAAACCAATTATCTAAGTCTCACAGTGTGTTCCAGGGACCCCTAGGGATTCCTTATATGCTTTCCTTGGTACACAGATAAAACCTATTTTTATTCTAATATTGATATTTTATTTTCTCCTTTTACTGTTGCTTTTGACAAGTATAAGAGTTTCCCAGAGTCTAAATCATGCCACATATCACAGAAAATTGAAAAAGCAGGTAAAATAATAAAGTTATTTTCTACTAATACAGACATTAAAGAGATTTGGAAAACTATAAAACACCACTCCTCCATTTCAAAACTAATTTTTAATTTTGAAAAATGTATTTTTTTTTAATTTTTATTTTTTAGAGATGGAGTCTTGCTCTGTCACCCAGGCTGGAGTGCAGTGGCATGATCTCAGTTCACTGCAACCTCCACCTCCTGGCTTCAAGGCATTCTCCTGCCTCAGCCTCCCCAGGAGCTGGGATTACAAGCCTGCACCACAACCCTCAGCTAATTTTTTTTTTTTTTTGAGAGAGAGTCTCGCTCTGTCACCCATGCTGGAGTGCAGTGGCGCGATCTCCGCTCACCGCAAGCTCCGCCTCCCAAGTTCACGCCATTCTCCTGCCTCAGCCTCCCGAGTAGCTGGGACTACAGGCGCCCGCCACTGCGCCCGGCTAATTTTTTGTATTTTTAGTAGAGACGGGGTTTCACTGTATTAGCCAGGATGGTCTCGAGATCTCCTGACCTCATGATCCGCCTGCCTCACCCTCCCAAAGTGCTGGGATTACAGGCATGAGCCACCGCGCCCGGCCTAATTTTTGTATTTTTAGTAGAGATGGGGTTTCACCATGTTGGCCAGGCTGGTCTCAAACTCCTGGACTCGTGATCATCCCACCTCTGCCTCCCAAAGTTCTGGGATTACAGGCATGAGCCACTGCACCCTGCCAAAAAACTGTATTTTTTATAAAAATATAAAAGTATTTAAGCATATAATGTACTTATTGCTTTTATTTTTAAATAAATCAATATATAAATATGCTAAATTGTATTTATTTGTATTTAGTATATATCTATGTTGTATTTTAATTTTATAGAAAGTTAAGTATTTCTTCAATTTCTAGTCAGATAAAAATATAACTACATTAAAAAGTAATTTTTCTGGTCCTCTAACATTTTTAAGAGTAGAAAGGAATTCTGATAATAAAATGTTAAAAAGCACTGATCTAATTTTATATGTGTCAGCCTAATAGGGTAGCAGAAACAATACAATATCCTCTAATCCCATATTTCGTCTTGTCCTTCATGATTTCTGGAAAGTCACTTACTTTACACAGAGATCTGTTGTCTCCTTTTTGCTCTGATTGCTGATTAAATTCCATGAGAATAAGTTTTTTCTTTTACCTCACTTTTGTCTACAAATTATAATTTCTCTTATAGTTTTATATATAGTTCTCTCCTATATAAAGGAGACCAACATTCTAAAAATTGACCTACTCTAGCATATGCAGCATTTTAGTCTGTTGTTGTAGCTCTTTTTAGCATTAGTTGAATAGGACATGGATAAATATAATTAAACCTGATTCATGTGTGAAACTTTCATGAATATAAGATGCTCCTAAAATTGACTTTAATAAGTAGAAATCTTTGTACAGTTTGAAGGCATACATATGAAACCCAAATATAAATAACAATGAAAACAGGATCTTAATATTTTATTTACAAGTCTATAATTTGAGATCAATAGACAATGCCACAGCAGTTTGGATGATACTAATTATCTGAAATTTATAGAGCCAGTATGTTTTTTTCTTGTACTCTTCAATGTTAATTGGAAGAATTTCACAGAACACAGAAAATATTTTTATAAAAGCAAACTCAATGTGAAATTAGTTTGTCTATTTGAATTATACATTTTTTATAATTCTAACATGTCAGTGCTGAGTTGATAGTTAATATAGAAATAAATGTCCAATATGAAGTATAGTTTTTTGGCGTGAATTTTTTTAAATTTATTTATTCCATTAAGATTTTTTTAGGCCATTCATTTAATTTGTTTCTTTTTAGAAATAACAGTGTTTTAAGTATAAAAGATACTGGGACAAATTATTTGCTATCATTTGTAATTTGATTAAAGATGTTTTCTACTCATTTTGAGAATTTTATATCTTCTTGGCGCCTTAAGACGCTTTTTAATTTTTAAATGTAATTGCTCTATGCTGTTTTATAATGTTGTATAGTGGAAATTAAATTCAAAGATAACTGGATTGAATTGTAAAATTATAATGCAATGAAAGCACAGCCGGGAGGAAACCAAATTTTGAGTCACCAATTTAATGGAAAACTGAATTGGGTATCATTGTTAATAAGCATAGTCCTACTAAAATAACTAGTGCAGAAATTCTATTCATATTATGGAGTCTTAGAACAATACAAATAATGTATAATGAGACTGTTGTCTAGAATTTGTATGAAGGTAATTCAATACATTTATACTGAACAATCGATGTTGTCTATGCATAACACCAAGCACCAGGAATTTGGAAATAAATAAAATGTTATATTTATCTTCAGTTTACTGTTTTTCTTTGTAATGATTTGTTATCTAACCCCAGAAATATATTCACAACTTCTCCTAGCTTTCTGTGGAATTTTAAAAGATGGAATAGAATAATAATCTCAATTCCTCATTATATATAGTTCAAATATTTTAACTTACAAAAGGAGAAAACATGTAGCCACCTTCTCTCTTGATTCTTTCCCTCACTGGAAAAAAATAATCATTATTGACTGAAGGTTGCCAAGAAATAGTATATCCAATCCTTTCTGCTTCTTTTAATAACTTTTTTTAAATACGAGATTTAAAAAGTCAAGGAATTAATCACTCAACTAAATTAAATAATGTGTGCAATTTTAATTAAATAAATTGTGGAATAGTGGGTGAAGAGAAAATTTCTAAAGGCCATTCAAGATTTAGAGAGGAAAAATAGTATCTAGTAAAGAGGGTAAACAGTGAAAATTGACATTATGGGCCACTTTATGATTTGATTTCAAAATTGCTCTTCAATTATTTTTTAGGCACTGTTTTCCATAATTTACTAATGTGTAATGGGGAAATAGACTATTTTTAAACGTCTCCCGACTTCTAAAATTTGGGTAGGAAGTTTTTTTAAGGAAAACCTTGAAATTTAAAATATAATTTTAAAAATCGGGTATTGCTTTAAGATGAGTGGGATTCTTGGAGTCTGTCAGTTTGAGGGGCAAAAGTTGTACGTGAGAGAAGGTATCACTTGTACTTTTTAGGCTAAGGCAGCATCAGAAAAATATAATTCCTTTTTTTTTAATTACAAAGACAATCCTGGGTCACTAGAATATCCAATGCATAATCCTCAATAGTGAAGCCATCTTCCACTTCAGCTGGTCTTGGGGATCTGGTTTACAATTTTACTCTCTAATCCATTATTTTGGTTCATTTAAAGCTGCTGTGACAAAATGCCATAGACTGGGTGGCTTATAAACACAAAACGTATATATTTCTTACCTCCCTGGAGGCTGGGAAATCCAAGATCAAGGCACTGGCAGTCTCTGCCTGGTGAGGGCTTACTTTCTGGTTCATAGATGACTATCTTCTTGCTGTGTCCTCATGCCAGAAGAAACAGGGAACTCTTTGGGGCCTCTTTTAAAAAGACACTAATCCCATTTATGATGGCTCAGTCCTTTATCTAAACACCTCCTAAGAGTTCCATCTCTTAATACTGACACCTTGTGTGGTGAGTTTTTCTGGATACCATTAATTTCAAGTTACATAAATCTAATACAAATTCAATTTAGTGCCAGTAATAATACAAATTAATTTTATAGTTATGTTTTATTATAATAATGATGATGATAGAAAGGAAAAACATGTTAATAATATTTTTGTTGTCATTCTTGCGGGCTTTTACTGTGTACCAGAGATGATTGCTATACTTAGCTCTGATATAATATCTTTATATTTCAAAATTATTGAGGAAAAATAATATATGTTTTGCTTTATAACTGAGAAGGAAATAGTTTGTCATGATTTAAGTTTTCTGGGTAGAAGGGGCTTCCATAATTAGTAGATGTAACAAAGAGAAGGAGAAATTTTCTAAAAGATAGGTCGGTGATATTATCACACACAAAAAAGAACAGATACAGGAAAGACAGAAATCACAGAGGTCCACTTTATAACACACCAAGATTACTTATTATCCCTTGTTTTCTATTACTCCTATATTTATGTTGAAATATCATATGTTTCCATATTCCACTTACTTAAATTACAGTAAAATCTCCTTCCCTCTCTTGACCTTTCTCTTTATCTCTTTCTCTCATCTCTTCTTTTCTATTCTCTTTCCTCCACCCATATTCCTCAAACTTATAACTTGGCATTTTAATTTATATGTCAAATCTCAGTTTGAGTCATTACCTCATCTGTGAAGCCTTCACTGAATCTCTATCTGTTTTAACTGGCCTTGTTCTACATTCCTGTCTTTTAATGGATCTATTTTTCCGGTATATCCCCTTTATTTTGTATGGAATAAACATTATGTTTTTAATTTTTTAATCTCACAAATATTTCAAAGTATCTGGGATAGTGGTAAGTATGAAATAAATAAATGCTCACCAATCACATAAAGCATAGAAAGAAGCAAATAAAAGTCAGTAAATTGAGAATCTCAAGGCTCTCCGTGGGTAGGAGGAGTTACAGGTAAAAGAAGATGTCAGGAGTTAAATGGATATCCATAACACTAATAAAATTATTATGGAGTTACTATGTTGATCTAATCACAAGGGAAGAGGCTGGATGGACTACAATACCAAGTACAGTCAGGAACTAGATAAACTGCCTCTTGCAGAAGTAGACTTGGCTGACATATCTGTTAAGGAATGGTAAGACTAAAGAAACATGCTTTTTTCCCTAAGGGAAGCTTCCAAACTATTTTTTACAAATGTGACTGAATATTCTGTAAAACTGAAACAAAATTAAAATATTTTACTGTGGAATATTTGACAACTATGCTATAGGCATTGGGAATCTCTAAAACAACAAAACAATCATCCTAAAAGATTAATTAACATTCCACAAAATATTGTTCCATGAACGCACTTTTAAAAGTTTCTAGATCTAATAACTTCAGCAAAGTTTCAGGATACAAAATGAGTGTACAAAAATTAGTAGCATTTCTTTACATCATAACCTTCAAACTGAGAGCCAAATCAAGAACACAATCCCATTCACAATAGCCACAAAAAGAATAAAACATCTAAAAGTATATCTAACCAGTGAGGTGAAAGGCCTCTACAACAAGAATTACAAAATACATCTGAAAGAAATCAAAGATAACCCAAACAAATGGAAAAACATTCAATGCCCATAGATAGGAAGAATCAATATTGTTAAAACGGTAATGCTGCCCAAAGCAATGTACAGATATAGTGCTATTCCTATCAAATTACCAATGGCATTTTTTTTTTTACAGAGTTATATAAAACTAGCCTAAAATTTATTTGGAACCAAAAAAGATTCCAGATAGCCAAGGCAATCCTAAGCAAAAAGAACAAAGCTGGAGGCATGATATTCCTGACTTCAACTATAACATAAGGCTACAGTAACTAAAAAGCATGGTATAAAAACAGGCACATAGACCAATGGAACAGGTTAGAGAACCCAGAAAAACTGACAATAACAAGAATCCAGACAAAACTGGCAATAATAAGCAATGCAGAAAGGACTCCCTATTAAATAAATGGTGCTGGGATAACAGGCTGGCCATATGCTGAAGATTGAAACTATACTCCTACATTTCACCATATAGAAAAATCAACTCAAGATGGATTAAAGACTTAAAAATAAAACCTGCAACTATAAAAGTTCTAGCAGAAAATCTAGGAACTACCATTTTGCACATAGGCTCTGGCAAAGACTTCATAAAGAAGGCTTCAAAAGCAATTGCGACAAAACCAAAATTCGACAAGTGAAACTTAAGAGCTTCTACACAGCAAAAGAAACTATTAACAAAGTAAACAGAAAACCTACAGAATAGGAGAAAACATTTGCGAACTCTGCATCTGACAAAGGTCTAACATCCAGAATTGTAAGGAATTTAAGCAAATTAACGAACAAAAACGAAATAGCCCCATTACAACATCAGCAAAGGACATGAAAAGACACTTCTCAAAACACATACATGTGGTCAATAAGCATATGAAAAAATGCTTAATATCACTAGTCATTAAGGAAATGCAAATTAGAAACAAATTGTAATACCATCTCACACTAGTCAGAATAGTTATTACTAGAAAGTGAAAAAATAACAGATGCCAGTAAGGTTGCAGAGAAAAGGAAACACTTGTATCTTGCTGGTAGGAATGTAAATTACTTCAGCCACTGTGAAAAGCAGTCTGGAGATTTTTTAAAGAACATAATTTAGAACTACTATTCAACTGAGCAGTCTCATTACTGAGTATATACCCAAAGGAAAATAATCATGCTACCATAAAGATGCATGCTCGTATATGTTCATTGCAGTACCATTCACAATAGCAAAGACATGCAATCAATCTAGATCTAGATGCCCATCAGTGGTAGACCACATAAAGAAAATCTTGTATATATACAAAACAGAATACTACACAGTCATAAAAGAGAACAAAATCATGTCCTTTACAGCAACATGGATGGAGCTGAAGGCCATTATCCTAATTAAATTAACACAGGAACAAAAAACCAAATACCACATATTCTCACTTACAAGTGGGAGCTAAAGATTGATTAGACATGGATGCAGAGAAGGGAACAGTAGACACTAGGACCTACTTGAGGGTGCAGGTTAGGAAGAGAATGGATACTGAAAAACTACCTATCAGGTACTATGCTTATTACCTGGGTGGCAAAATCATCTGTACACCAAACCTCCACAACACAGAATTTATCCATGTAACAAATCTGCAAATGTATCCTTTGAAGCTAAAATAAAAGTTTGAAAATAAGAGGAAGCTTTCTACTGTTGTAGAATAACTAATTAATTATTAAAAATATAAGTAAAATTTAAACAAATTTAAAATGTTAATATGTTTGAATGATAGTGGACTTTAAAGTAAATGAATCCGCAATCAAATTGGCGTAACCTTTTAAAGCTATTTTATCTCTCTAAGCAGGTTAGATTACTTATCCAAAAAATGGCCACAAAATATGTATGTTTCTGAACTGCAGTAATATTTAACGAGAGAGTACATTTTATATTTTGAATCAATAGTGGAAGGACTAGATATTATAAAAAGTAAATTTACTGTCTGAGACAGAAAAGGAAATCAACTAATATTGTTACAGAAAGGTCTCCCAATCTAGATCCCTAGAGAGGGTTCTTTGATCTCACGCAAGAAAGAATTCAGGGCAAGTCCGCAGTGCAAAGTAAAAACAAGTTTATTAAGAAAGTAAAGTGGTGAAAAGACAACTACTCCATAGACAGAATAGGATGTTTCTGAAAGTAAGAGGAGGAACACATCCACCCTGGGTACAGTGCTTGTATATATGGGGAGATGAGTTCTACTACAAGGGTTTGTGACAAAGGCTTAATTCTTTAAATTACTACATTTTGCAAGAATCAATATTATTATCGTTAAAGCAAAATTAGGAATGCCTTTCTTTTCTAAATATCGGGATAACTGCACCGTCCCAAGTCTGGGTTTAGTAAACGTTATTAATTTGTTTCCTTAACCATAAACATCTAGAGGCTAGGAATGCCTAACTTTCTGAAAATGCAGCCTGGCAAGTCTCAGCCTCATTTTCCTAGCCCTCACTCAAAATGGAGTCGCTCTGGTTAGAAGGCCTCTGGCAACATAGCTGTGGACAAGAGATAGGGTAGTCTCTCCAGTGAAGGCTGAGCAATGTCTAGACAACTATTCTGTAATCCTTACCATAATATCTCATTAGCCTCCAATGTTACCAAATTTTCCAAACAATGGGACATGTAAGTATGTCTTTCAGATATCTCACTTAAATCTTTCAGGCTCCCTTGGTATAGGCCACAACATTTCCTTCCTCATAAATTAATATCTATGCCTTCCTAATTCCCTTAGAAATATGCTTGTTTCTTCATTTCCTTTCTCTTCACATACATAAACTACAAAATGTATAGCCCAAAGTATTAGCAAGCACAAGAATAAGAATAAACCAAAACAGAAATTTATCTTCCTTGGAGTCAAAGAAGGAATTGCTCTTTAAACACTTCCCAAACAATGAGAAATAATATGGGCACTTAATCATGAAAATAAGTCCCCATATTAAACAATATACAATTTATTACTTTTTCACACATGGAAATGAAGTGGTTATTGAGGTAGGACTAGTTATGTGAGTGGAGCTATTACTGTGTATAGATAGAAAGAATCAACAAACAAACAAATAAACTTGATACTAACTTCTGACTGCTAAACCATAGTTCTCATCTCTCTTTACTCCTTGAAGTTAACAATTCTGCAGAGCTTTAAAAATGCCAGCAATCAAGACAATACAAGTAAATTAAATCAGAGTTTCTAGAGATGGGATGTCAGAATTGGTATTAAAAATATATACATATCCTCAGGTATTTTCAACTTGCAGTACTATAAACCAGGGTATGCTCTAACTACATTCCAAGCAGTTATTTGACTGCCAAGAATTTTGTTTAGAAGAGGGGTGGTATGCAAATTAAGTGGTCTAAATAGCACAATGAACAAAAGGTGATACTACATTTTGTAAAATCTCTTTGGGGAAACAAGAATTGGGATCAGAAAAACGGGAGTAGTCTTGAATTTTCTACTTACAAGTTGTATGAAAGTGATAATCATTTTACGTTCTGTATCTCAGTTTTCTCTTCTATAAAACCAGGATAATAATAAAATCACCTTCCTTACAAAATGATTTCAAATAAACTTAGCACATATGCATTATAAAAATGTTATTTGAAAGCAATAGTCATTTATTAGTTATTTTAATGATACTCACACACTTATAGTTTGAGTGTATTACTAGGAGATTAGGCCTTTTTCAATTTCTTGTAATCCCTGATCGGTAGTCTGATCCCTTAGTTAATGACAGAAATGGGATGACATATTTTCTAAACAGAGTTATGAACAAAATAGTATTTTATAATTAATATACACTCTTTCTAAAGTGCAAATAAAAACATCTAGAGCATAAATTCAAATAATAATAAATCTATTTACTCAAAACAAAATAATTATGTATTTTAGGCATGCCTCCCAAATATCCAAATTCCTCAAAATTCTCAAATTCAAAGTAGTAGTATTGACAGGTTTTTGTTGTTGTTGTTGTTGTTCTGTTTAATTATTCCTCTTGTCTTCTGGGGTGGGGTTCAATTTGTAGGCAGAGATGAAATAGTTCTCATTGTAAAAGTCAATATGTACATAGGAAAAGGAAGCCAGAAATTTTTTTCCATTTATCTTTTCCTAACACATTAGATAATTACTTACATCTCTTCTATTAAAGCCATCAGACGAGTTTACGGATTGAGAGCCAAATGTAAATCAATAACAGAAATACTTTCACTTGTTTTAATAAACAAAGTTATTTAAAACACACAAACCATGTCTAGAGCTATTAAACATTGCAGATTCCCTTCATTTATTCTTCACTTGGCTGTCTCAGAAGAGTTAATTAGTATTATTTAAATTCCTGTTATTATTACCTCCTCTGCTAGCTAAGACCTTGAGAAAGTACTGTAACCTGACCAGGCCATACTTTCTCCACAGTGAAATTAAAACAATCATATGTGCCTTTTGTTGTCTCTAACTAGAAAACAAAATACTCTTTTTGAAAGAGCATGGCAAACTCTAAAGTGATACACTAATGTGACACTAATGTTTTGTTTTCTTTGCTGCTTGTCTTTTCCTTTTGTAAAACAAAATAAATGTTGTTATAGACAGCTTTTCAGAAGGTATTAGCAGGGCAACTGACAAGTACACAGCGCCTTTGGCTGCAATGTAATGCCATACAACATGCATAATTTCACCTTGAAAATTGTTCTTGTTCTTAAGAAAATAGAAAATTTGAAGATTTGTTCTTACGGAAATAATGATTCATTACTCTGACATTTATACACATCTGCTATAGATTATAGGTGATAGGTTTTCTTCAGTCAGCTACATGAATGTATATATTTGTTAATTGTGAAACAAATTAATCCTTAACATTCACTACAGAGTTATTGGCTTTTAATATACAGGTATGAAGGAAAACAGGCTTTGGCTTGTGGTTAGGACGTAGAACGTTTTAACAGATCATCATTTCTACTAACAATTAGAACAAAGTGAGTAAATGTCAGCATCATAGTTATTATTTCCAAATTATGTTTAAAATCAAATAGCTGGCAATGCAAGGAAACATAAATAAATGAAATTTAAGAAAGTGACAACCTCTTTCTAAGAGAGAAGAACCCAGTGGACCTCTCCATTTTTGACAGAGAGGTGAATAGAAAAGAAAAGTACCATAGAGAGGTTTAAGGAGAAAGTAGTCTAATTTTAACAAACATTCAACAGTCATGCACGGTGGCACTGGTGAATTAGAACACTAACGATCTCTACTCACAGTGTGAGTCTGAACCCAACCTGCCCACTTTTTCCTGCCGGTGTTAACAGAGCTCCTGAGGATAGTGGGCTAAAAGCCAAGGCAGGCTAGGAATGCTGACAGACATTACTGAAAGGGACCCTTGGCTTTACCCAAGTACCCAGCTACATTCTTCCAACAGCCTGGTGCAAAAGAGCACGACGAAAATATCTGGGCTGAACTGAAGAACAAGGAGAACATTCTGGTGACCATCAAAACTGGCTGACTGGCTGGAAAGCCTAGTTCTCTCCTGATTTAGGATGCTGGCAGGTGAACTATAAAGCATACAGAGATTTCCGTAATCCAGCTTGTACTGAGATCCCAAGCCCTATTGAAGGGAAGCTTGTAATAGTGTCTTCAAAACATTTACTATCACTGGTAATTATTTCTAAATAGTTGCCAAAAAGCCAAGATACAGCTCAACTGTAGATGAGATTAATAGTTCTCCTCTATAATGGGAGCCTGGTAAAAAAAGAGGCATCAATGTTTAGCATTCAATAAAAAGTAACTCAACTGAACAAGAGAATATAACCTAGAAAGAAAAATGAAAAACCTTAAATCAAGCTCATTCAACCCACAGTCTGCAGGCCACATGTGGCCCAGGATGGCTTTGAATGCAGCTCAACATAAATTTGTAAACTTTCTTAAAACATTATGGAATTTTTTTTGCAATTCTTTTTTTTTTATAGCTCACCAGCTATAGTTAGTGTATTTTACATGTGGCCCGAGACAATACTTCTTCCAATGTGGCTCAGGGAAGCCAAAAGATTGGACACCCCTGCCTTAAACTATAAAAAATACATGAAGGGATCTAGTGGAAAAGATGAACAATATTTGTGAAAGCCAAAATACTCTCAGCAAAGAAATGAAAATACTAAAAAGGAACTAAATAGAAATGTCTGAAATAAAAAAATATAATGTCAGAAATGAAGAATGGGTTTAATTTATTTAAAAATAGACTAGATAAAGTAGGGGAAAGAATCAATGACTTTGAAATGTTTAATAGAATACAGATTCTACCTAGAAGGTAGCAAAATTTTTAGGTGACAAAAGCATGAGTTACTAAGAAAAAGCATACATTAAATTTCAGCAAAATTATATATGGTCGTTTTCTAAAAAAACACCATAAAGAATATTAATAGGCAAGCGAGAACAAATATTTGCAGGCATATTAACAGGCATAGAAGAGAACAAATATTTGCAATACATATATCTATTTACAAATTGTGCCCTAAATATGAAAGTCAGATAATTTAATTAAAATATGCAAATTATAAGAATGACCAATAAAAAGGTTCTCATTACTAGTTTTCAGGGAAGTAAAAACTACAATGTGGTTCTATTTTATATCAATTAAAATGTCTAAAAAGAAAAAAAAAGACTGACAATACAAATGGTGGAAAGAATATGAAAAAAAGGAATTCTCATATATTTTTGATAGTAGTGTACAGTGCTTCAATCGCTTTGGGGAACTCTCTGGTATTTAGACATACATTCATCCTTTATTCCTGAAATTTCAATGTCAGGAATTTACCCAAGGAAATAAAATGAAAGTATGTTTATATAATCTTTGTACAACAATGTCCCAAAGTGCTTCATTTATAACATCTTAGAGCTTAACTCAAGTGTCCATTATCAGAAAAAAGGATAAGCACATTATGATATAATTATACAACAGAATACCACTGAACAAGAAAAGATAGTGAATTACTGGTGCATGCAAAAATATGGATGAATTTCCGAAATATTTTTGAGTGCAAGAAGTCAAATACAAAAGAACATACGCATCTGATTCAGTTTATATATGGTCTAACTATAGGCAAAAATAATCTAGATTAGAAAAATCAGAATGTAATTGTCTTTTCAGAGGATTGACTGAAAAGAGGTACAAAAGAATTATTTAGAGTTATGGAAATAGTCTATATCTTCTTTTGGGGGGGTTAGTGCACGAATGAACACAATTGTCAAATCTCTTTATGCTCAGTTTTTTTAAAAGACCAAATATAAATTCAGTTTAAGATATATTTTTCCTTGTTTTCTTCTTTATATAAATATGTTGAAGAAAATCCTATATTATTAAAAATAAAGGCACAATATAGGGGCATAGAGGATTAATAATGAAAAGACAGAGGAAATCTATGGCTGAGAAAATCAAAATACAATAATATAAACAGAAGTGACATTGAAGTGGCCCTCAGCTCTTGTAGCTTGGCTCTTCCCTTATTTAATCTGCATATATTCAGATGTCAATGAATCGAATTAACCAAAAATAGCAGTAACTCATATTAATTCAAAGGTTCAAATCAAGTTTGAATTGGTAAATAGGAAGTTACAAAGCCTGCTTTGGGTCAAGCCATATCATCTTTTCCCCGAATTGTGAAAATATGACCCTGACCTCAGATTTACTTAATTAGGCCCTCCAAATTAACCTTTAAACATTGGCAGCATGATGATGACATGTCTATGCCTAACACTTGTCATTGAATCTGCAAGGTGTAAGGGGTAAAATGAGATTCTCAGGTAATATATGGATATCTCCTTCATACGACTCTGCTTACTTCCAGCTTCATCTCTCAGATCCTTCTGGGAATCTTCTGTTCTAAGGAAAACAAATTATTTGTTGTTCAACGAACACATTCTCTCTCACACCTGTTTCTTTGCTCTTTGTCTGCTTTCGTGTCTGCTCCAAAAAAGAAGTCATCTCATATTTTATATTTCACATACTTACAACCTCTTGTAAGCTGTAGTAGCCTCTGCTGGTGTCTCCAAGTAGAATGAATAACTCTCTTAGTTTTGTCCCATTCTTTCTTGTAACTATTACAATATGTATGTATGTCTTCCCTTACAGTAAGGCCCTAAGATCCCTGATGATGGCAACCATGTGATATTTATATTTATGTCCTCAGCACTAAGCAGGCTTCACAGAGAAAATCAATATTTGTTGAAGGAAAGATGAAAGAAAGTAGTGGGGAGAAAAGGAAATAACTGTTGAGCCATACGGGGAATATTTGATATTGCCTATCTAGAGAAGGAAGAGGACAGTATCGACTATAGACTATTGCTTCAGATGACATATAAAACATTTACATTTTTTTAAAAATATAAGAGTTAATTTAATTCATGTATTTATAAAATGCTAAGATTTCAAAATAATCACTATGCTAGCTAGAATAATGATGGAGGAAAAACTGCAGATTCAAGTTTTCATTGATTTATTTTTGTGTCTCAGTACCAAATTCTAAAGTTTTGGAAAAATTTTGACATCCAACAATCTCTCATTATTTTTCTCCTTATTTATATCCTTAATCTCTATCAGAGAGATTAACACCTTGACTTTAAAAGATAATCAAAGAAATAAACAAATTAATAAGTTTCCACTGGCTCTAAATTTTGAAGTTTGCACTTACAAAAAGCTAGATTACTTTAGATTAAAAAGACTCCAATTTAAAGATTAAGCATATCACAATAGGTCACAATGCTCATTTTTTGACAGACATCTCAGTGAGTTTTCGTTTTTCTTTGTCTTTTCATCTCTAATCTTGAGATAATTTTAATTTCTAGTTCTTGGTCAAAGTATTTATTTTTTCTATTTGTAGCTTACACAAGTAGGAAAAACACTGAGTTTGCACTGTATCTCTTCCCTCGTAAGCTACATTGAGGTTTGGAGGTACTCATCACAGTACAATCAGTGAATGAGTGGTTTCTACAGGGAAAATATGGCAATAAATGAGTAATATATGTGGATGCTATCATCCCTCACTTTTTAGACAAATATTATCCTTAACCCCAATAGTTACACCCCATCTTTCTAAGAAACCCTTACTCTGAAAACTAACCACTCTAACTCCTCTTCCATTCACATTATTGTTGAATTTAGTGTGGTGACTATCACTCTTGATTCAGATCTTACTTTCTAACTCAATATAACCATTCTCCTTTCTTACTGTCAAGGATGGAATCTTTTAGGCTTACAGCCCATAAATTTTTCCCTAACTTCTGATGTTTTATCTACTTTTGGCTCACTTTCTTTTTTCCTATTATCAATATTTATGTATTTCCCTGATTTCTCACTGCTCTTAATTCCTTTTACTAATTATTTCTTTGAACCCTGTGATCTGGCTATTCCCTGGCCCAAATTCCTTCTGCTATTAATCTGTATATTTGTGTCAAGCCAAGATTCTTAGGTAGTACTGACATAACAAATCACTGACCTTTTATTTTCATACCTGCCTTATGTTAAAATTAGAGAGAAATTCATGAAGATCTTAAAAAAGAAACCAGCTGGCCACTCAGACACTGATCAGGAGGTGGTAATTTTAGTTTGAGTCACTCAAAGCAGACATACAAATTTATAAATTCAATGGGCTCAGGGTTTAATACATTTAAGGGAACTGACTCATCAACTAGACATACAATATGTGAATGCACAAACTGGAAGGTGGATTATTAAGTTAGAGTGAGAAATATAACTGAAAGGTAAACTAGGCAATTTGTGTCTCTATTCAGCTCGTTCTGTCTTGACGAGTAAGTAAAAAGTCACTAAGACCTGTTTGATAACCGTAGAATCACAACAAGGGAAACTAGAAAATATTTTCCTCCAGATTTAAAAAAAATTGCACACATTTAATATACACATCTCGATGAGCTTGAACATATGCAAATACTCATGATACCATCACCACAACCAAGGTTGTGTATAATCTTAATAGCAATTACCTTCAAGTCACCATAGTCTGATGTATATGGATCTGTTTAATAGAGATATACAAAACAAAATATTTTGTCAACTGAGTGGTCTCTCCCTCTAATAGTAACAGAGATACACTGATTGAGGCTCTCTAGATTGTACAAGCATTCCAGCCATCAACAAAATTTCCTTAGGTCAAATAAATGACATTAATTAAATTTTAATTTTTTAATAAATGATTTTTCTTTTTCTTTTTAATTTTTCTTGTTTTTTCCTTCTTGAGACTACACTTAAGTCATCATGATTGCATGAAGGTCATTCTCAATTCTACTCAACCATCTATTTTTGGACCAATTCAATAATTAAATATTCACCTCAGTTGTGTAAAAAATAAGATCACTATTTTACCTTTGAAAATAAAATGTGTATGGGATAGGATTCATAACAATTTTACAAACATTTGAAATATTTGTGGCTTTCTAAATATCATAGCAGCTGTAAATATTTAAGTCTGATCTGTCTTTGGTTTCAGAACTGAATGAAAATGAATAAATTTGAATCAGGTGACCTTATTTTTGGTGAGCTATTTAAATACAAATTGGAACTCACTACTCTACTCCCCACTCTCAGAAAATTACCAAAAAAAAAAAATTCCAATTCACATATACACCATCATTTTTAATCTCTCATATTCTTTGAAAACTGATATATTTCAGCATAGGAGTATATGCCACTCTTTCCTCTGCCTACATAAGTTTACACATGAATCCAACAAAGGTAAACCTAGATTTTGATGATGAGCATACAGCATTAATAAAATATCCTTCAGAGAATGTACATTTTCTATAGAAATTTTATGTCAGATGTAACTCAATTTTAGTATTTCTCTTTATTGAAAGTAACCTGCATGCTAGGGAAAACAAGATTAACACTTGGCTATAGGCTATATGCTTTGCAACAGATAATTTTATCCCAAGACAATCTTTAGCCATGAGGTGTAAAAGCCTCCGAATACTGAGAATACCTTTCTTGTTAATGTTATTAAAAATCCTGAAGAGAAGGGTGAAGGCGAAGGGGAGAGGTGGCAGGAGGTATCTTCTTCAAGCATACATTTAATTTTATCTGAATTTTTAAAGATTTTGTTACGGAAATATTTGGTAGGTAAAGATTTTGTTGGTAAAATGAATACTATATATGCATATATATTATTATATATACTATATTATATGTATTATATGCTATATATGCATATATATTATTATGCTATATATAAACTTCTAAAGCAAAAGGAAGAGAGAGAGAGAAAAAGAGACAGAGAGAGAGAGACACTGTTATTTCTGATCATATTTATTTCTGGATGGTAAGCAGGAAATTGGAAATTATGGAAGCTCCACTGAGCTTAATTGTGCTTAACTGATCCACTCTGTTTAACTGACACTCTTGCAAGACCCAAATAATGTAAGACCATGAATGGAGAAGGGTCATTAACCCAAAGAATGTTGATGTTAAAAGGGACTTATAGAGGTCTAACTCCTTTCCAAAATAGAAAAACATTCTATGACATCCAGGAACAACTTGAGCTCTTCTTCATTATGTTAACTGGAAAAAGAAAACATGATAGATTACATACATAGATAGATAGTTAGATAGATAAGTGCATACATACATACATAGAGTTAGTTGCTCAAATTAAGTTAGAGATATTTAGGCTTAACTCTTCATCATAATGATGAGTAAGAGGAAGAGGAGAATCAACGAGCCTTTTTGGTTACAATTCAATATTTCTAATTCTAAATTTTTATATTCATTACAGACAGAAAATTTCTTTTTCCAAATTCATATACATGAGTTCTGTTTCTTTCCTCTGGAACAATTCTGAATTAAATAAAAACTGCCTACAAAATGTGATTTCTGAAAATAGTAAAACCAACTAAATGTAATTCTCCTTCTTTTCTTTCATTTATCTTAAATTGCTTTTGTTAATTTCCAGCAAACTTGAACAATATTTCTCACAAATAGGCAATGTGAAGGCAATTTGGCAACCTCTTTAGAAAGCTCACAATGGAGATTTATCTATTTTAGACTCTGAGTGGATCTCAGATTTTTATTGATTCCTTCCTCTCTGGAACAAAAGGTAAATTTTTCTTCTTTTGGGCCTATCAAATAAAAATAAATATAATACTGGCAACAACAGTTACAATTGCAATAATCAAAGAAGATTAATTACTTTTACTTACAATAGACATTTGTTACAGTCAGATCATGCTGCTACGGGGTTTGCAGGGGGAAAAGCTGGGTTTTCATCAATGCTACCACAAATGGCCGCCAGAGTGCACACCAGAAAAAGAAGTCAGAAATCAGTTCTTTTGCAGCAAGGGGACATAAAGACTTGTGATCCCTGAATTGATCATTACGATAACTTGGTTGTAGTTTGACTCATAGTTTTGCCAGTTTGTCCTTGTCAGAGTAAGCACATACTATAATGTTCCACTAAATTCTATCAAGAGTGAGGGAGTGGTACAATCAGTTATAGGCTTAATTTCAAGCATCAAGGAATATCTAACACTTACTGTGGTCTGTACAATATATATGGGCATCATTAAAATCAGGAACTAGGGAGTTACATATACTGAGAGATATTAGTCAGGGGAAGTTTTCTTGAAACATAGTCCCTGGACAACTTGTATCAGAATTACCTGGTGTCCTTGTCACATTTGAAGATTTGTGGTCCTATGACTTCGAATGTCTATAGTAAAGCTCAGCATTGTCAAAAGGCAATTTATATTCATCAAATTGTTTTCACTGAATTATGAGAAACATTGGTTTCCAACAATATATGTTTTTGCTCATTGTTTTTTACTTTCAGCTCAAACCACTCTGAAATAATTTCATATTCAGAAACATGGTCTTTACACTATTGAGAGATTCTCTCTTGGTTGGGAAAAGCTCAAGATAGAAATGCTATCAGAAGAGACTTTAATAGCCCGTGCCTTCTTTTATCATATGTGCCTATACACGGATGCAGATAATGGCTAAAGATACTATAGAAAAATCACTGTGTGCAAGCGTTGACACTGAAATATTTTTTCACTTGTGAATGATGGAGCAAAGAAAAACATAATTTACAGACCAGCAGAAAGACTATAGAAATTGCTGAATTATAATTTGAAGCTTCTTTTGATACTTCTAATGCATGAGACTGCTCATCAGAAATGTGAAAACTAACATTGTTTTAAATAAGCCAAATTAAGCCAAACTCTATACTGTATGTAACCACTTTAAAAAGTTATTGTTTAAATAATAAAAAGAGATTTTTTATAGGCTTCATGAATAAATACTTACCTAGTCTAGAAATATTTGGAAAGATAAGTTTATGCATGCAATTTTTGAAAAAATCAGGATTTGACCAAATAATTGGAAGATAACTTATAACAAAATATTGGGTTTTAAAATTTACTATTGAATGATACAATTTTAAAGACAGATACATACACACACATATATTTATCAGTGTCAATAAAATGGTAATTCATTTTATTTTATACAAAATATGAATTCCATTCGATTACTTATTAACATTCTGTTACTTTCAAGCAAATACATGGTGATTAAAAACATAGACTTGCCTGCTGTTGCTCTCAGTTATTAGCCTACTTAGTCTCTGCATGCCTCAGGTTCCACATAGTTACAAGGGAGGAAATGACAGTACCTATTTCAGGTGTTGATTGAATGAATTTATATATTTATATATAATATTTTATATTTAATAAAATAAATATAAATAAAATAAAATATGTAATAAAAATATATATTTATAAATATTTAAAATGGTTGGAGAAGTGGTTGGCACACAGCAGATGTTACATCACTTTTGATCTTTATATTTTGTAATTTTTTCTGAACATAAAGAGTCTATATTTTTACAAACAATGAATACAAAAGTGATAAAAATGATAGCATACTCATATTAACACCAAGAAAATAAATGGATGTAGAAATAACTTGTTTTATTACACTTTGCTTTATTGCACTTTGTAGATATGGTGTTTTTCACAAATTGAAGGTTTGTGGCAACCCCGCATTGGATCAAGTTTATCAGTGCCATTTTTTAACAGCATGTGCTCACTTTATGTCTCTGTGTCACATTTTGGTAATTCTTGTAATATTTCAGACTTATTTATTAATATTATATCTATTTTAGTCATCTGTGATCAGTGATCTGTGATGTTACTATTGGAATTGTTTTGGGGTGCCACAAACTATGCAATTTAAAGATGGCAAACTTAATTGATAAATGTCGAATGTGTCTGACTGCTCCACCAACTAGTCATTCCTCTGTCTCTCTCCCTCTTCTCAGGCCTCTCTATTACCTGAGACATAACAATATTGATATTAGGTCAATTAGTAACCCTACAATGGCCACTAAGTTTTCAAGTGACAGAAAGAGTTACGTCTCGCACGTTAAATCAAAAGCGAGAAATGCACTGGGTGTAGTGGTTTATGGTGAATCCCAGCACTTTAGAAGGCCAAGCCAGCAGGATTGCTTGAGCCCAGGAGTTCAAGACCAGGCTGGGAAACATAGCTGAGGTCTTGTCTCTACAAAATAAATAAAAAAATAAACCAAATTAAATGGGTGTGGTGGCACACACCTGTGGTCTCAGCTACTCAGGAAATTGAGTTGGGAGGATCGTGTGAGCCCAGGAGGTCAGGCCTGCAGTGAGCCTTGTTCATGCCATTGTACTCCAGCTTTATCAACAGAGCAAAACCCTGTCTAAAAATTAAAATTAAAATTGCGAGTGCTAGAAATGGTTAAACTTATTGAAGAAGGCATGTGAAGGCTAGGACAGGATTTCGACATGCCTTCCTCAGTCTTCTTTGAGTTTTCAGGCTGAAAGCTAGGCCTCTTGTTTCAAGCAGCAAAGTTGTGAATGCAAAGGAAACAAATATTGAAGGGAATTAAAGCTTAATTCCAGTGAACACACAAGTAATATAAAAGTGAAGTAGCCTTATTGCTGAAGTGGGGAAAGTTTCAGTAGTCTGGATAGAAGATCAAATCAGCCACAACATTCTGTAAACCAAAGCCTAATCTTGAACTCTCTTCAATTCAATAAGGCTGAAAGAGGCAAGCAGACTGCAGAAGAAAAGTTTGAAGCTAGCAGAGGTTGGTTCACGAGAGTTAAAGACAGACAGAGACATAAAAAACCCTTCAAAAAATCAATGAATCCAGGAGCTGTTTTTTTGAAAAGATCAACAAAATTGATAGACTACCAGCAAGACTAATAAAGAAGAGAGAAGAATCAAATAGATGCAATAAAAAATAATAAAGCGGATATTACCACCAATCCCACAGAAATACAAACTAACATCAGAGAATACTATAAACACCTCTATGCAAATAAACTAGAAAATCTAGAAGAAATAGATGACTTCCTGGACACGTACACCCTCCCAAGACTAAACCAGGAAGAAGTTGAATCCCTGAATAGACCAATAACAGGCTCTGAAACTGAGGCAATAATTAATAGCTTACCAACCAAAAACTGTCCAGGGCTAGACAGATTCACAGCCGAATTCTACCACAGGTACAAGGAGGAGCTGGTACCATTCCTTCTGAAACTATTCCAATCAATAGAAAAAGAGGGAATCCTCTCTAACTCATTTTATGAGGCCAGCATCATCCTGATACCAAAGCCTGGCAGAGACACAACAAAAAAGAATTTTGGACCAATATCCTTGTTGAATATCGATGCAAAAATCCTCAATAAAATACTGGCAAACTGAATCCAGCAGCACATCAAAAAGCTTATGCACCACGATCAAGTTGGATTCATCCCTGGGATGCAAGGCTGTTTCAACATACGCAAATCAATAAACGTAATGTATCACATAAACAGAACCAAAGACAAAAACCACATGATTATCTCAATAGATGCAGAAAAGGCCTTTGACAAAATTCAACAACGCTTCATGCTAAAAACTCTCAATAAATTAGGTATTGATGGGATGTATCTCAAAACAATAAGAGCTATTTATGACAAACCCACAGCCAATATCATACTGAATGGGCAAAAACTGGAAGCATTCCCTTTTAAAACTGGCACAAGACAGGGATGCCCTCTCTCACCACTCCTATTCAACATAGTGTTGGAAGTTCTGGCCAGGGCAATCAGGTAGGAGAAAGAAATAAAGGGTATTCAATTAGGACAAGAGGAAGTCAAATTGTCCCTGTTTGCAGATGACATGATTGCATATTTAGAAAACCCCATCATCTCAACCCAAAATCTCCTTAAGCTGAAAAGCAACTTCAGCAAAGTCTCAGGATACAAAATCAATGTGAAAAATCACAAGCATTCCTATACACCAATAACAGACAAACAGAGAGCCAAATCATGAGTGAACTCTCATTCACAATTGCTTCAAAGAGAATAAAATACCTATGAATCCAACTTACAAGGGATGTGAAGGACCTCTTCAAGGAGGACTACAAACCACTGCTCAACAAAATAAAAGAGGACACAAACAAATGGGAGAACATTCCATGCTCATGGATAGGAAGACTCAATATCATGAAAATGGCCATACTGCCCAAGGTAATTTATAGATTCAGTGCCATCCCCTTCAAGGTACTAATGACTTTCTTCACCGAATTGGAAAAAACTACTTTAAAGTTCATATGGAACCAAAAAAGAGCCTGCATTGCCAAGACAATCCTAAGCCAAAAGAACAAAGCTGGAGGCATCACGCCACCTGACTTCAAACTATACTACAAGGCTACAGTAACCAAAACAGCATGGTACTGATACCAAAACAGGGATATAGACCAATGGAACATAACAGAGCCCTCAGAAATAATACCACACATCTACAACCAGCTGATCTTTGACAAATCTGACAAAAACAAGAAATGGGGAAAGGATTCCCTATTTAATAAATGGTTCTGGGAAAACCGGCTAGCCATATGTAGAAAGTTGAAACTGGATCCCTTCCTGACACCTTATAAAAAATTAATTCAAGGTGAATTAAAGACTTAAATGTTAGACCTAAAACCATAAAAACCCTAGAAGAAAACCTAGGCAATACCATTCAGGACACTAGGCATGGGCAAGGACTTAATGACTGAAACACTAAAAGCAATGGCAACAATAACCAAAATTGACAAATGAGAACTAATTAAACTAAAGCCTTTCTGCACAGCAAAAGAAACTACCATCACAGTGAACAGGCAACCTACAGAATGGGAGAAAATTTTTGCAATCCACTCATCTGAAAAAGGGCTAATATCAAGAATCTACAAAGAACTTAAACAAATTTACAAGAAAAAAATCAAACAACCCCATCAAAATTGGGCAAAGGATATGAACAGACACTTTGCAAAAGAAGACATTTATGCAGCCAAAAGACACATGAAAAAATGCTCATCATCACTGGCCATCAGAGAAATGCAAATCAAAACCACAATAAGATACCATCTCACACCAGTTAGAATGGTGATCATTAAAAAGTCAGGAAACAACAGGTGCTGGAGAGGATGTGGAGAAATTGGAACAGTTTTACACTGTTGGTGGGACTGTAAACTAGTTCAACCATTGTGAAAGACAGTGTGGCAATTCCTCAAGGATCTAGAACTAGAAATACCTTTTGACCCAGCCATCCCATTACTGGATATACACCTAAAGGAGTATAAATCATGCTGCTATAAGACACATGCACATGTATGTTTATTGTGGCACTACTCACAATAGCAAAGACTTGGAACCAACCCAAATGTCTGTCAATGATAGACTGGATTAAGAAAATGTGGCACATATACACCATGGAATACTATGCAGCCATAAAAAAGGATGAGTTCATGTCCTTTGTAGGGACATGGATGAAGCTGGAAACCATCATTCTGAGCAAACTATCAGAAGGACAGAAAACCAAACACCACGTTTTTTCACTCATAGGTGAGAATTGAACAATGAGAACACTTGGACACAGGGTGGGGAACATCACACACTGGGGCCTGTCGTGGGGTGAGGGGAGGGGGGAGAGATAGCATTAGGAGATATACCTAATGTAAATGATGAGTTAATGGATGCAGCATACCAACATGACACATGTATACATATGTAACAAACCTGCACATTGTGCACATGTACCCTAGAACTTAAAGTATAATAAAAAAAGAAAGAATGTATTTTCATAACATATAAGTGCAAATGAAGCTTCAACAAGTTATCCAGAAGATCTAGCTAATATAATTAATGAATGTGGCTACACTATACAAAAGATTTCCAATGTAGACAAAACAGCCTTATATTGCAAGAATATGCCATCTAAGGCTTTCATAGCTAGACAGAAATCAATGCCTGACCTTAGAGCTTTAAAGGACAGACTGACTCTCTTGTTAGGGGCTAATGCATATAGTGACATTAAGTTGAAGCCAATGCTAATTTATCAGTTTGAGAATCCTAGTGCCCTTAAGAATTACGCTAAGTCGACTCTGCCTGCCCCTTATAAATGGAATAACAAAGCCTGAATGATAACACATCTGTTTATAGCATTGTTTACTGATTATTTTAAACCCACTGTTGAGACCTACTGCTTATAAGATTTCTTTGAAAATATTACTGCTCATTGGCAATGTACTTGGCTACCCAAGAGCTCTGATAACTGTAGATAAATAGATGATAGATAGAAAGATAGATAACATTGTATATATATATATATATATATACAAGAAGATTAATGTTTTCTTGCCTGCTAATACAACATCTATTCTGCAGCCCATGCATCAAGGAGTAATTTTGACTTTGAAGTTTTATTATTTAAGAAATAGGTTTTTCAAGGCTATGGCTGCCATAGATAGTGATTTATCTGATGAATTCGAGCAAAGTAAATGGAAAACATTCTGGAAAGGATACACCATTCTAGATGTCACTAAGAACATCTGTAACTCATGAGAAGAGGTAAAAATATCCACATTAACAGGAGTTTAGAAGAAGTTGATTCCAACCCTTATAGATGACTGTGAGGCATTCAAGATTTCCATGGAGGAAGTCACTGCAGATGTGGTGGAAATAGCAAGAAAACCGAAATTAGAAATGGAGCCTGAGGATGTGACTGAATTGCTGAATCTCATGATAAAACTTGAATGGAAAGAAATTGCTTTGTATAGATGAACAACAAAAGTGGTTTCTTGAGATGAAATCTACTCCTGGGAAAGATGCTGGGAATGATTTGGGAATATCAACAAAGGGTTTAGAATATTCCATAAACTTAGTTGATAAGGCAGTGGCAGAATTTGAAATAATCAACTTCAATTTTGGAAGAAGTTCTAGTGTGGGTAAAATGCTATCAAACATTGCCGGCTACATAGAAATCTTCTGTAAAAGGAAAAGTAAATAGATGTGGAAAACTCCATTTTTGTCTTATTTTAGGAAATTGCCACAGACACTCCACACTTTAGTAACCACCACTATGATCAGTCAGTAGCCATCAACATTGAGGCAATACCCTCCACTGGCAAAAAGATTAAAACTCTTGTAGGTTTAGATGATTGTTAGCATTTCCTAGCAATAAAAGTATTTTTAAATTAAGGAGTATACCTTGCTTTTTAGGTATAATGTCAATGCAAACTTAATAGATTATAATATAATGTAAAAATAGCTTTCATATTCACTGGGAAGACAACACATTTTTGTGATTCATTTTATTGAAATAATTGCTTAACTGCCATGGTCTGGAACCGACCCTACAATATCTCTGAACTATGCCTGTAAATATGTTACAAGCAGATTTGTTTCATCCTGTATTCCTTCTTAGTAATCGTACAAATCTTTTAATGTAATGTCTAATGAATGAAAGAAATGTGAAAACATTTTCTCCATATGGTATTGCTACAGAGCAACTTCTAGGAAGAGATTTGTTCAGTAATAGCACAGATGTTTCCAATCTCTGTTTTCATGAGATGCCAAGATATGTCTGCTGGGAATGAAACTGGGGGTAATTTGTGTAAATCGTTGTATGTTAAGTGCATTATGTATTAAGTGTTTGTCTATTAGTGCTGGAAAAATAATGTATTTTAAACTTCTGCATCCTGTTGTCTGCCTCATAGCAAGAAAACTGGATTACCCTAATAAAAGACTAATGAGCAACTTAAATTCTGTGCCACACTTCAACAAGAGGTTTTGCAAGATAAATGTTATCTGGCATTTAGTTTTCCCTTAGAAGCAGATAATTTAACTGTTTCTTTTTCCATTAAAGAGTGTATAATACATACTGCTATTGCAGCTTCAAGCAACCACATTATCTGCTATGCTTGCCACATGGGCATTTACATTGTGATATTAGGCTACCAACTTACATTAAATATTAAAATATTCACAGTAATGGTACAATCAAATGTAAGCTCCTCCACAAATTACTATATCTTTAAGTCCTTAGCAACACATATATTGTGATAGAGCATCGTGAATGCTAGACATGCTTGATCTTTAGGGTAAACTAGTGTGTTCACTATTTTCTTAACACTCTTACACCTGCTCAGTTATTGAACTTGCATCACTAATTATAATAAAATACTCCCTTGGTGTTTTGAGATTATTACTTATATGATTCTAATTTAACTATTCACCTTGGCATTCCACTAGCTATATGAAAATAGTTTTTATATAACATGTCCTGCAGCTACTACTCCAGAGATGTCCCACGCTAATTTTAGATGTCCCATGTAAAATTATTCATTTGTTGCTTTATTTGTTTTCTGTTTGGGTCCATTTCTAGTTTCTAGACTAAATAGATCTGCCATTTATAATTAAAGTGGCTAGCTTAAATAAATTACATCTTTTTACCTGTGATTTTTAAAAAATTTTAAACAATGTAAGATGCCTTTTTGGAAAAGTCTTCTCTTTTTCATATTTTTTGTTTGTTAGACCTAATTGTGAATTCATACATCAGATATGGTTTTAATTCATTTGACTTATTTATTAAGTTGTGACTAAAATACTACTTAACAAAATACATGTATACCCAGAGTGACCCAGGAAGATGTCATTTCCTCAGAAAATGTGAAAACTATATTGTTTCTCTCTAAACTTTTTTTTCACTTTAAGGAAGATGAAAACTTCCAATATTTTGAATAGACAAAATATATTTAACAACAAGATTGCTATTCATATATATTTTTCTTTGATTTTATCCTTCAACTTTCCTCTGAGAGTGGGACCAAGATTTGGAATTGATGGATTCCTAAGAACGTCAGAGACCATTTTGACTCCTCTCTGGGTATCTCCTCAGTCTTTCTTGTCTAAATCAGAAAGTCAGCATTATCTTCACCTGTTCTTCAAATACAAGTGGAGAAGAGAAGTTAACTCTATTTTTAGCATCAAAGGGAAGCTGCTAAGCTATCACATTATAGAGATGCGCTATTATTTTATTTTCACCTTACAAATAGCTATGATAATCCACACTCTTTCATGCATTTATTGAATTATGTATATTTAAATGATAATTTTATTATTAATTCACTATATCTTATTACTAATTCTGGAAAGCTAATATTTACTCTGTTTTATTTTTATGAAACCATATTTGGAAATACCTTTAGGAAGCTTGTTTCTGGTTATTCATTTTATTTATGTGTCATTTTTTCTCATTTTCATATGTTATATAACTACTCGAATTCCAGACAAAAAATAGATAATTTACACAATATGTTTTTTTAGATATTCCTTCACAATTTGAATTTTCATGTTTAAGTAATACTGTCCGATGTTAAAGTAATTCTTTTGCCCTGTGTATGTCTATTTTCCTGCTTCTAAGTATGCACAAATAAATTATTATGAACAAAACTACAGCTCATTCGTCTATTCATTAATACTGTTCTTAAATTAAATATTTCCTTGAGCAATGATGAGTAACATTTATTGAAGTGTGAACCAAAAAAAAAAAAAATGAAATACTTCTAATCATGACCTGTTACAAAAATTTTAGTGAAATACTATGTGATGAATATAAGACAATGACTAGTGATTAAAGTTACCACCTGTACTAGTACCTACAAGTTTCATAAAATTCTAGGCCAAGATGCTTGACCTACAGCAATGTTTTTATTTCTGGATTTTATTGTGGTTCTTTTTGTATCCATCAAGAAACATATATTTTTGTTTACAATTTGACATTTCCAAAATTTGAATGTATTTCATAATTAATGGTGCCTTAGATGGCAAAATTAAGTAAGAATAATATTAAATGTAAGCACCATTTTTGTGTGTGCTTTTTTTGTGTGTCATATAACTTAAAAAGCATTTCATTTAATAAGAACAACTCTTAGACATAAGAACTATTATTATCTCTCTATGCAGTTGTAGAATCTGAGGGTTGGAGCAGTTGAGAAATTAACTCAAGGATATCCAGTAGGTAAGTGATAGAGCAAGTGATGCTTCAGGACACATTGACTATAGAGTCTGAACTCTTTCTGTAGAATGATGATTCACACTTAACTACAATTCCAGCAGTGACACCTTATATGCAAAAACCAGCTGAAACCTAGCAACACTATATACTCAGAAACATCTTTTTAAAGTTACATAATTGTAACAGAAGAAAACAGAAGGTGATATCTTCATAATCTTATAGAATAATCTTATAATAAAATATTATAATATTGCTCTAAAATTTTATAATAATAATTTGAAAAACTTGTTTTTATTTTTTTATTACTTATTATCTGTCTCACCATTCAAGAGCCAATGTAGTGCTAACTGTATCCCTCCCCTTGCTCCTCACTTTCATTCTTTTCCTCCTCTTTCTGCTTCTTCTTCCTAGTTAATGTGCATAAAGTAAGCTTCATTTTTCTTCCCAGATATGTTCTGCCTTCCCAGCCTAGTTCTTCACCAGATCTAGTAACCAAATGCAAACTATTTTATGGGACTTAAACCTTCCTCAGCAGTAAGTGGTTAATATGAGAGAGTGAAGCGTTTATGAGCCAATCAATTCCCATAAGTTATTAACAATTCATTCATAGCACTCTGGCTTAATCTTTTATTTTTTCAAGACATTTCTTCATTTTCTCAGGGCAATTGAGCAAAACTGCTGTTTTCATGGTTGAGTCTATATCTACAAGATTCAAAACAATCCCTCATTTTAAATTGGACGCTAGACATGCACAAATGATCAGTGCTTCTCACATTTGGTTTAGGGCTGCTTGAAATCCTTTGGTTTTTATTCCATTGCTTATTAGGGGTTTTAGGTCCAATTTGTATTGAACTATTCTCCAGATAGCTGGAAGGATTTTTGTTTTAGATAAACAAATGCTGTTCAAAGTTTGCTATAAAAAGTTATAGATATGTATATTTACATGTATTTGTGTTTGAATCAGAATTCAAGAAGTCAATGCTGTGTGTTTCACTTTTAGGTTTGTTACTAGGATCAGTCTCAGTTCTCAATTTTGATATGTATAGCCAAATAATGATACTCTTATTTTTATAAATATAGCTTACATTGTTGTAAACAAAGTGTTATCAGCATGACTACAAATCATTATCTTCTTTGTGGGGGGATCATCAAGAAAGAAAGCAAATAATGTCAAATCTTTTTAAATAAGCCATTGACAAACTTTCTGGTAAACACAAAAATGCAAAAGTCTTATGCAATTTATTAGTAGAGGGTCCGCTCTATAGGGTATGCTTTTAGCAGGATTTATCATGCAACTAACCTGGAAAATATCACAAAAGCTAAACTTTGAAGTATAAAACACAGATGCTTTATGACCAAAATAGCTTCCTTCTGTGTGATGTCTATATACATCACTTACAGATTGCATATGCTAATTTTGACTAAAGTATATTCTAATGTGGAAAAAGAGCACAGGGAGCTACTTTGACATTCTAGACCACTTCCTGCGCCTTGTGATTAAATGCATGATTGAAATTATTAGCATAGATTGATACTCAGTAAGACTCCAATTCTTGTGAGTCTGACTTGACCATCTTATTCACTGAGGTATCTCAATTTCTAATTCTAATACTCAGCCACAAATAAGGAGTGCATAGATGTGAGACAAATATAAGGGGAGAGTAAGAGGAAAACAAACATAGCTAATGTAGCTTAAAGGCATGTGCTATATGGAATTTCACTGTGTACATTTATAAAATTCTGAATAGTCAATTGGAAAAGGATAATTGTCTTTACTATGTTCCTATCATCTGGTTCTCTGTAAACCAATATACACTGGTTCTGTGTAAAACAAAAAAGTTATGCTTTTCTTATAAGTGGACAAGTGAGCTTGCATGTGTCTGTATACATGTTAGTCAACGTCCATTTTAAAAATGATATTATTTAAAGCAGAAGGCGATATTTCCTTAGAAAGGCAAATAGTAAATATTTTCAGCTTTACAGGCCATCAGGTCTCTGTCACAAATCTTCTACTCTACTGCTATAATCAAAAACAGCCATTCACAAGATGTAAACACATGGACATGGCTGTATCCCAATGCAACTTTATTAACAAAGGCAGCTTGACCACAGGCAATAGCTTGCTGATTCCTGCATAAAGTTTAACATACTCTTGAAATTTCATTTGTCTAATATTTTAACCTCAAACTGTGCCTAATTTTGTGGTAATTATTATTTCACTCAATTTAACACTTGGATTTGAGAACTTCTTTCATATGCTTTGTTTTGGAAAATAAACTTGATAATAAATTGGCCCAAAGTATGGGAGTTTAAATTACATTGTGATCCTTCTTTATCTTCTAGACAAATATGTGATTTCTTCAAAATCATATTTGTCATTTCTTCTTTTAAGTTTTTATTGTTACATCTTAGCTTCATTGGCTAATGCTTTACTGTAGCTGCAAACATGAAACAAGGAACATTTCCTGACTGCTCCTTCATTGTTATGGTTTGGAAAAGTGTTGGGAATTGCTGTTGTTTTTTAATGTTGAGCTAGATTGTGTGATGACCAGAATATTTTTTCTCCCTGCTCTACTGTTCTGCATTATTTTCATGATTATAGCAAAATTGATTGCTAGCTGAAAAGATTGCAATTCCCACTTTGATTTTGTAATAGCCATGTTAATTTTCATGATGCAGGTTTTTATTCCGACCTTTGATGTGAGTTCAATGTAGATGTATTGGGGAACATTTTCCTATTTTACCTTCTTCAGACTATCTTTGAGCTCCTAAAAACTGGCAAATTTAAGTTGACATTTTCATAATCGCCTTTCACACACAATGTTCAAACATATCTTCAGATTTACAAGAACGCTATTAGTCATTGCTGCAGTAAGGTTTAAGAAATTAATTCCAGCACTGAAATAAGTAATTTTAGTAAATTAAAACAATAATTATAAGTAAGTAAATATGAGATATTACAGGGACATAATCATAAAGATACAACTTTCAATGAGATTGAAAAAAATGAGTTGTTTGTAATTTGCCTGTCTTAAGCAGGCTATTAATAGGGAGATTAGTATTGATTATAATTTTAATTACTTTTCAGGATGTTTCTCTTTCAATGTAATATATCTAATTTTTCATTATATACTAGACAATTTCAATAGTCCATACTGGACATATTAGACAATGCCAGGAGTCCATACGGGATATTATGAACAACTACAGTTGTGCCATCATTCAATATTTTACTTAATCTAACAACTGAGGCAGGTTGCCTAAGGAAAGCTGGTTTAGTCCATGTTACTGCTACTCTCTTGGTGAAGGTTGAATATTACTTAGATTGTCATTTTGTTTTACCAAGTCTTCTCTGAATGAAACTGAAACTCCAAATTCTGTGTTTTCTAGGAGAAAATACACATTTTTCTTTTCTTTGGTAATAAAAGAGCTTAATTCTTTTCTCATAGTTATTGAAATTGTGTATATATAGTAGTTTCCCCTTATCTGTCGTTTTTGCTTTCCCTGATTTCAATGACCTGTGATCAACTGTGGTCCAAAATATTATAGGAAAAATTCCAGAAATTAACAATATGTTTTAAATTGCAGGCCATTCTGAGTAGCACGATGAAATCTCACAGTGACCGGCTGCGTCTTGCTCAGGAGGTGAATCATCCTTTGGTCCTGAGTACCTATACTGTATATGCCACTCACTCATTAGTCACTTGGTAGCTGACTTCATTATCAAATCGGCTTTTTCAGTATCACACTGCTTGTGTTCAATAACCCTTATTTTATTTAGTAATGGCCCCAAAGTGCAGTAATAGTGATGCTGGAAATTTGGGTATGCAAAAGAGAAGCCAGAAAGTGCTTTCTTTAAATGAAAAGGTGAAGGTTTTTGACTTCATGAGGAAAGAAAAAAAATCATATTCTGAGGTTGCTAAGATCTGTGGTAGGAACAAATCTTCTACCCATGAAATTGTGAAGAAGGAAAAATAAATTCATGCTAGTTTCTGCTACCTTAAACTGAAAAAGTTATAGCCACAGTGCATGGTAAACACTTAGTTAAGATGAAAAATACATTAAATGTATGGATGGAAAACATGAACAGAAACATAAAGGCCATTGAATTTACTACCATCTTTGATTTCAGACAATCACTAGCAGTCTTGGAATATATCTTTTATGGATAACAAGAGACAGTTTTAAATGAAACTTCTACATCAATAGGTATAATTGGCCACATTATGAACTCCTAACTAGGCTGTTTACCTTTATATATGTGCATATGTATGTGCATATATGTGCATGTGTGTATGTATACATGTATGCACGTTTAAGAGTGGAGCAGGGCAAAACAAAATGCTATATTCAGCAGATATTATTGCATTCAGCATAAACATATTTTTCAAATCCATTGAAAGGGATTTTTTTTCAAATCCATTAAAAGGGATAAATTATTTTTCTTTTATTATACATGAAATTTTAAAACTAGTAATTTTAAACAGTAAAATGCATCTTTTTTCCAGAGGAAAGAAGCTTAAATTATCAGCTGTTGAAAGTTCACAGATCTATTGAATCTCCAGATATGGAAGCCTATTTGAGAATCTTCAGGCCTACTTTTCATGTTATGCATGTATTGTGTCTTTAATACATTTTTGCTTAATATATTTCTTGCATTTTCTTCAGTGATTAGGAAATCACTATTTCTTAAGGAAGCTCACCTCATTTTCTGAGATTTAAAATTTATCTTCTCATAACTTTGACCTATCGATTTTAGTTTTGCCCTGCACAGTTGCCTTGGTCAAGTTTAATTATTTCTCCACATGACAGCACTTTTATATTTAAAGACAATTAATCGTATACACACTAAGGCAGGGTAATCAAATGGGGGTACTTTAGTTGTTTCTCCCTGCCATGGTTTGCAATTTTTCTCATTATTATGGTGTCTCTCTTTTGGGTAGACTTCAAGTACTTACTTTATTTCTTAAATTATTAAGTGAATACCAACAATATAACTAGATCAAGCTCTTGCCACATTCAACCTCCTGTATTAAAAACCATATACATGATTTCCTCTTTGGAAATCAATTAGTAATATGTACAGATTTTCAGTGACATGCACAGTGACTGGAACTTCTTCAGTAGCATGCATACTTTAAATAAATTGGCTTTATTACAATTAAAGAACAATAATTATATAGGCTTATTTTTATTGTGTTAAAATATGCATAACATAAAATTTACCATTGTAACCATGCTAAAGTGCTCAGTTGAGTGATATTAAGTATATATAATCATTGTGCAATCATCAACAGTATACATTTCCAGAAGTTTTTCATCATTCCTTTCTGTTTCTTTCTTCTTTTGTTTCTGCGATTCATCTTAGCCTTTCACATGAAAAAAGATATTAACATTTAAAATATTATGAAGACTAAACTGAAAAGAGCAATTTAAGAGCTAGTAGAGAGAAGGAGTTCTTTTATAATTTTATTTTTTGTACTTATTCATGGAGTACAAAGTGATGTTTCAATACATATATATTGATCGGATCTGGGTAATTAGCATATCCATAATCTCAAACATTTATCATTTCTTTGTGTGAAAGTATGTTCTTCATGAAAAAATTTCTTGAGGAGCAGTGATGAATGTGATTCAAAACACATAGAGAGCAAGTAATGTTGGACAGGAAGAAATATTGTTTTATTCAGGGATCAATGATAAACTAATCAGGTGGTATTGATAGATTAATCATTTCACAACATTACTGTATAAATTCATGTATTTTTTTTCACCAGCACAAACTCATTTTCAGGTACATGTCAGGCACTATGCTAGACACATAGGAATATAAATATGATAAAACCTCACAAATCCTAATATCAAAGAATATGTGGTTTTCCAAGGGATGTACAAAAATTTAAAAAAATGTACAATGAATGAAGTTTAAAGAATATTTATAGGATATTTAGGCAGAAGTTGAAAAATATTTTAACTGTGGTTATTTTTGTGGGAATCCAAGGAGGAGATGAATCCAAGCAATGGAGATGCCAGCTCTACATATTACTGTATTTCATATGTATACTGCTTTGCATATTGTTATGAGAGATAAGATAGAGACTAGAGTGCTTCTAAAAGAAAAGAGCACATTTAAAATTACTAATTTCCCATACTCCTGGACGATGTTGAGTTATATAATTAACCAATAAATAATTGCTATTTTTCCATCTTTGGGTGCATACCCAAATTTAGCAGAATATGGATGAATCCCAGGAAATAATTTTAAGAACTTACATGTTTTCATCCTTCTCATGTTTTGTTCTGGTATATTAGGAGGAATGTATTACAGACATGAACTTTCATATGCTGGATCTAGGTATACAAGAACGCAGAGAGTTTTCCCTGAATATATGACCGTAACCAAAAACACGAATTTGTTCTGTCAATAATAGGAAAATTTGCTTCCTGGTGAGGAGATGGTGGAGGGAGAGTTAAACTAATCACCAATTCATAAAATCAGAAATCCATATGACATTAAAAAAAAGATGCTGTGTTTCTTAGGATCTAATTTTATTGAAAGGAACAAAAATAACCGTAGATAGTAATTCAAAAGAGCAAAATACATCCTCCCATTACAGTCAATGATAAATTAAAATTATAGAGTGTCAATTCAGTTGCATAAATTATTTCAAGGTAATCAGTATTTGGTACCAAAGGGAATTTAGGAAAAAGTCTCAGCAGATTTTTGTCTATGATGGCAAAGTAATTAATTCAATTTAGAGGGCATATGCAATATGGAGACTTACGGATTTTTAAGTAGAGGTTTTCTATTTTTCTTTGTTTTGAGTGTGGGGAGGAAGGATAATTTAAGATTGCTAATGCAAAATTATTTTCTTCTCCCAAATTTTCATTTTGCTCAAGATCATTTACATTGCCTTGCTGAAATTCTTTCCCATGAAAAAGGTGGCAAAATGCATGTGTTTCTTAATGATCAGGTCCCCACTGCATGAGTGCTATTTGAGTGTGAGAGAGGCACAACCAGCAGATACTTTTATTGATGCCTATTCAAAGTCAGAGAAATCCATAACCAAGGGGCGAAGTGGCTAACCTCGAAGGTCCATTCCTGCCATAAAAGTTTATAAATCTATAAATTGGTTCTTGAATGATACTTCCAAAGTTCCCTGTAACAAGAGAAAAGCAGACAGAAAGGTGCATCTGAGTGGTTTGCAGAGGAGTATATGCAATGACATGCACCAATAATTCCATTACTTCTTATCTACACAGACCCTAGCACAATTTTCTGATGGTACATATCTTTACTTTGAATTGTGCTTCTAAAAAAAGTATATATGTATATATACATATATACGTGTATATATACACATATGTGTATATACGTATATACATATATGTGTATACATATATGTGTATATACATATATGTGTGTATATATACACGTGTATATATAATACACATGTATATATACATATACACATGTGTATATATGTATATATACACATGTATACATATATGTGTATATATGTATGTATATATTTGTGTATATATATGGCATTTAATTCTATATAAATGCATTTAATTCTATTAATTTGAGTTCCTTGATCACAATAAGAGCTCAATCTTTTTTTGTTCTGTTTTTCAAATGAATAAAGAAATTTGAATGCTAGTAACTTAATAAACATCAAAGTCTATTATTCTTAAGCTTCTACTATTCCTGCAATTAGTGTTGGTTACTGCTTCATTCCTACATAGAAACAAAGGTTTTTCTCTTTGTTTACATAAATCTCCTTTGGTCATTCATCAACAGTTTTGCGATAGATTCACTATACTTTCCACAGAGGATTGAGCCAGTTTCCCTCAATTTTTGTCAAATTGCCTAAACATTCAGGTCTCTCTAAAGTATTCCTATGGCTTGACATTCATTCTATCTCACACCTGAGGAACTGGATTTATTCACAGGAAACTGAAATCAACCTCTCATCCTCCTTTAATACTGCTTCCAATATAATTTTCCTCATGCATTTATAAACACATCAAAGCCCTCTAAAAGATGCCAATGGCTTCAACTTATTTCTAAATCCAAATTAAGTTTATGAACAATAATAAAGGTCCTCTTTAAAGTTATGTTCTTGGCAGCAACATGGATGGAAATGGAGGCCATTATAAGTGAATTAATGCAAGAACAGAAAACCAAATACCACATATTCTCACTTATAATTGGGAGATTAACATTGTGTATACATAAACATAAAGATAGGAACAAGACTACTAGTCTTGGAGACTGCTAGAGGCAGTAGAGAGGGATGGGGCAAGGGTTGAATAGCTACCTGTTGGGAACTCTGCTTACATCTTGAGTGATGGGATCATTTGTACTCCAAACCTCAGCACCACACTATATCCCTGTAACTAACCTGCACATGTGTTCCTTGAATGCAAAATAAAATTTGAAATTACGTTTTTAAAAAGTTATGTCTGAAGCACATGTAGCTGAACAGTTTTAGAATCATTCTAAAAGTCACTTCAGTGAAGTCAACCTACTGCACATACACATTGCATGACCTTACTTTTAAAACTAAAGATTCCAATCACAAAGACCGTTAGTTCATTTAATTAAGTATTTAATTAACAAATATTTATTTAGGGTTTACTATGTACCAGCACTCTGTTAGAGCTAGGAACACCGCTACAAATAAGATGTTTATGTTTTCTGTAAATATTTCTCTAGCAGTTTGTTAAATAACACATCTTTTAAAGAATTGTTAAAGTAAAATGAATGCTTTCAAAAGAAGGGCAAAGTGCTAATGAATCTTAAAAGAGGAAGATCTATCATGGCAAGAGATTTGTTTCTACAGGTAATGGTAATGCAATTTTGTCCAAATGATAATAACATAAAGATTGCATTTATTGGTTAAATCTCAGCTTCTCTAAGAAATATAACTGCTTTAATATATACCTTTTCCTTATTCTCTCAATGTGTCCTGCATTGTTATTGTTAAAATATAAAACAATAACTTCTGATTAAATTACAGAGGAAGTATGTGTACTACAGCATTTCAATAGAATAGTCTGAATTTTACATTAGCTATTAACTGACAGATACAGCACATCCTTTTTATAAGTAATCCAGTTAATTTAGTGTCACTTGGGTCTTGGTTCTGTTCTCCCTATTTAGGGCCACTTGAGTCTTGATTCTATTCTCCGTAGTGTCTGATACTGTAAATTGGCAATTTCATTTTTCATATCAATAATTGTTTTTTGGTTTTGGTGGTGGTAGGGTATAGACAAAGGGCATAGACAATATCAAAAGGTGTGTTGATATTATTATATTGGTTTTTCTACATGTAAACAATCTTATTTGTACATGTATCTTAGTATTTTTTCTCTCTTTTTCTTTCTCCTTCCACCTCTCTTTTCATTAAAATATTTAAAACAAAATTTCGAGTGTTTGTTCTGTGCCAAGAATTATGGTAGAGGTTGGAGAAAACATGATAAAAACCAGAAAACATGGCCCTTAACTATTAGAAGTACAGTGTTTTATCAAGGAATGGTAGCAGACTACATTATAATCAACTATGTATGTTCTGTTTTAGAAATTAATGGGCTCTATCCTAGACATATTAACTCAGTGGCACTGAAAGTGGGGCCTTGAAAACTGTTTATAAAAAATATTGCCAAGTGATCATGGTAATAGTGGAACCAGTGTCTAAGTGAAAAATCTGTATGAATTTAAGGATTTATGGCTTTTATAACATGGTCTTCAACACACTTTACTTTGGTTTAATCTTACATTTTATTCTCTGTAATAAAATGATACTAAAAATATTAATATAAACCATAATTTCTTAAGCTTACTAGACACAAAGTAGTGCTTTCAAGATATTTATATTTGTTAACTCACTTTATTCTGACAACAGTCCTGTGAGGTAGATACCATTCTCACTTCCATTTGAAGGACAAGGAAACTGAAATGGGGAAGGTTACATAAATTGTCCAAGATGTACTCAGCTAGAAAGTGAAGGAGCAAACTTACACCCAGAGCAGTCATGTAGTTTACGTTTGCATGCTATAAACCCCAAAATATATTGCTGTTTTTTCTTTAGATTGTCAGTTATCTGTTAGAGCAATTAAAATAAGCATAATGTTTACCTTTACTTTTCACAGCTTTGAGCGTTCTTCAGTTACTTGAGTAGATTCGAGTTTTGTTGGGTGCCATGAGATTTTTGCTTGTAGAACTTACTTGAATATTTCTTATAGTTCAGGTCTTCTGGCAACAAATATTCTCAGCATCTGCTTGTCTGGAAAATCACAGACATTATTTTTAAGATATTTTTGAATACAGAATTTTAGGTTAGTTCTTTATTTTTCCTTCAGTACATTATAGATGCCTCTTCTCTGCTTCTAGCTTGTTCACTTTCTGTTAGTAAGTTTGATGTGACTATTTTCTTTTTAAATTCACCATATGTAATATCCCCCTCATGCTTCCTGGCCTGTACCACTGCTTCAAGATATATTTTTATGGGACCTTCTATAATATTACAATGTTTTCTCTTTCAAACACACACACACACACACACACACACACACACGTCCTATACAGACTAAATAGCACCCTTAAACTTTCAGTGCCACACTCCTTTCCACATCAATGGAGTTTATTCCATGCATTTACTTATTCTAACCTACTCTCCTCTGTTTATTCAGGCCCACATGTCTTATTGCCTAGATTTTGCTTCTGATTCTTATTTCACATATCCTCTTACTCGATACACTCATTTAGTCTTTCTCTTTCAATCTGATCTAATATTCCACCTCAGAAAGAATCTAGTTTTGATATTAACCCTCCTTCAATACTAAATAGAACCACAGGTAAATGACAGAGGAGTTCTTCTGGCTCTCCATTTTGACCTGCAGAACTAAGAAAATAATTTTACTTTTGGGGTTCCATTCTTGAAAATAGAATGGGCCAATAAATTCCTATGAAGATTCAGTTGAATGTCTTATCAGTTCAATAGATGTATGATATTAAATATTTTAAATCTAATAAGACTGGAAGTATTTACCACTCTCTTAAATATAAAAAGAAAATATAGCTTAACGCACAGTTCTAAGATTTTGGAACACTTTCAAATTCTCATTCGACATCTTATAAAAATGCATACTTTACAGCATTTCTATCAGTTTGAGGTCTGACAACCTCCAATATATTCTCCTTAAGTACCTGTTGCAGTGTAGATCCCTGGATACTTTGCTGGCTTCTAATCTTAAAATCGGTGCAGATAGATATTTGTCTTATGCATGATAACAAGTTTCCTATATAATTACTAGGCACATGAAAATTTGAAACTCAACATTCCATATTCATTAAGATTCTTAAAACTATTGAATATTATTCAAAACATAATAAATTTTTATGGTGTTTGGGATTATCTGTTGATGGTTTAGTATTTTCATACATTATGAAAAATGATACATAAAAATTATTTTGACAATAACACATATCTTCTTACCTAAACGTGTTATTAAAGTTAGTGCGTTGGTGGAAACAATGACCACATATATCAGCAGAATAATATTGTTGTTAACAATAGGTACTTGAATCCATAAATACATGTCATAGGAAAAAACTAAATAATGAATTGAAAATAACAAATAGCCACAGTAGTTGATATGGTTAGGCTTTGTTTCCCCACCTAAATCTCATTTTGAATTGTAATCCCCATAATTCCTACATGTCAAGGAGGAGACAAGGTGGAGGTAATTGAATCATGGAGGTGATTTCCCCCATGCTGTTCTTGTGATAGTGGGTGAGTTCTCACGAGATCGGATTTATTTTTATAAGGGGCTCTTCCCCTTTTGCTTGGCATTTTTCCTTCCTTCTGCCTTGTGAAGAAGCTGCCTTGCTTCCTCTTCACCTTCTACTATGATTGCATTCTTCCTGAGGCCTCCTCAGCCATGTTACTGTGAGTCAATTAAACCTCTTGCCTTTATAAATTACCCAGCCTTGGGAAGTTCTTTATAGCAGTATGAAAACCAACTAATATAGTAGTATTTGCTTCAGCAATGCAAAGGGGGTCAAATATGATTTCCATTGCTCCAGGAGGTATGATATTTAAAAAGACACTTTTAGAATGTTTCAACATCAGTAGGCAACAAGAAGACAAAAAAGTATTTTTACGTGTGACATAAAAGAACAATATGTCTGGAAGATGTTAAAGATTTTCAAATAAATGTAATCTTGTCTTAAAGAAATTGAAGTAGAGACTTGAGAAGTCTTGCTACTTGTCTACAAAATGTCACACTGTTTCATATGATGCAGGATTACTTATCAAAAAAATCTACCAAAATTAACTCAGTGTGCATTACAGATCTACCTAATTTAATAAGAAGTAATCATTAACAATAGTGGACTCTGCTATGATGTAAAGTATATTATAGCCTAATAAGAAAGCCTTACCTGCAGCAAATAACTCTACATTATGAAGAATAAAATAAGTGCCAGCAGTATAAAGGTAATGTCATATCCCAAGGAATGGAGAAGTAAAATGATAGGAAAGAATCATTTCTATGAAAATTTTTATGATACTATGTTTCATACATTTTGTATGTGCCTTAGCAACTGCCTTCAAAACGAATTATAATGAAATTAGGACAGAGATATGATTAGATAACAGAGTAGAAACCAGAAGATTGAATTTGGATTGATTGAATTTTTTACTTCAGTGGTATTAAGAAAAATTATCCCAAACTTGGAAATCAAAAAAGAGCACATTATGTCCTTTCAATGATCTACTGAGGCAATGTTTAACAAGAATACCCAAGGACTAGATAATGATTCAGGAGTAGATAGGGGTATTCGAAATTGCAATTTACTATTTGATTAAAGCTCATGTGGTGTGAAGTTAAATGTTAGCTTGTAGACTGCAGTCCAGTAGACAAGATAAGGGAGTAGGTCATGTTTTATTATTCCAAAAGACATGTGGAGTTTTGTACACCACTGAAGCCTCATATTCTTTGCTCTTTTGTCTTTTAACTGAATCTCAGAAGTGCTATATAAGGGTCAGCAAACTTTCTGTATAGGTTCAGAAAATAAATATTTTCTTTTTTGCAAAATTATTAACTACAGTCACCATGTTGTATATTATATCCCCAGAATTTATTTATCTTATAAATAGAGTTGGCGCCTGTTCACCAAGACCTCCCTTTTCCCCCACCTCCCAGCCATTGGAAACCACCATTTCTTTTATGAATTAGACTTCTTTAGAGTCCACATATTAGTGTGATTATATAGCATTTGTTTCCCTCTAATCTGACAAATTTCTCTTAGTATAATGCCCTCCAGGTTGACCCATGCTGTCACAAACGTCAGGATTTATTTCATTTTTTGGTTAAATAATATTCATATATATATATATGTGTGTGTGTATATATATGCCAATTTATTTAAAATTTAAATAATATTCCATTATATGTTTCTACCAATTTATTTAAAATTATTTCATATAATATTTAAATCTAATACATTTTGAGTAAGGTAAAATGCACCCATATCTTTTTTTAACAATGTAATATAAAGTCATTGTGCATCTCCTAGAAAAGAAAAAATGATTTTATCCAGACAAGTGAATAGTGAGGGATTTTGTCGCTTGTTACAAGCACTCCTGAAGGAAGCACTAAATAGGAAAAGGAAAAACTGGTACCAGCCGCTGCAAAAACACACCAAAATATAAAGACCAATGACACTATGAAGAAACTGCATCAACTATTGAACAAAATAACCAGCTAGCATCATGATGACAGGATCAAATTCACACATAACAACATTAACCTTAAATGTAACGAGATAAATGTCCCAATTAAAATACAGACTGGCAAATTGGATAAACACTCAAGACCCAACGGTGTGCAGTATTCAGGAGACAAATCTCACATACAAACACACAGATAGGCCCAAAATAAAGGGATGGAGGAATATTTACCAAGGAATGGAAAGCAAAAACAAACAAACAAACAAACAAAACCAAAAAAAAACCGGGGTGCAAATTTAGTCTCTGTTAAAACAGACGTTAAACTAACAAAGATCAAAAAAGACAAAGTAGGTCATAACATAGTGGTAAAGGGATCAATGAAACAAGAAAAGCTAACTATCCTAAATATGTATGCACCCAATACAGGAGCATCCAGATTCATAAAACAAGTTCTTAGAGACCTACAAAGAGACTTAGACTCCAACACAATAATAGTGGGAGACTTTAACATCCCACTGTCAATATTAGACAGATCAGCGAGGCAGAAAAGTAACAAGGATATTCATGACTTAAACTCAGCTCTGCACAAATAGACCTAATAGGCATCTACAGAAGTCTCCACCCCAAATCAACAGAATATACATTATTCTTAGCACCATGTAGCAGTTATTCTAAAATTGACCATGCAATTAGGAGTAAAACACTCCTCAGCAAATATAAAAAAACGGAAATCATCAAAAACAGTCTCGCAGACCACAGTGCAACAAAATAGAACTCAGGATTAAGAAACTCACTCAAAGCCACACAGTTAGATGGAAATTGAACATCCTGCTCCCGAATGACTACTGGGTAAATAACAAAATTAAGGCAGAAATCAAGAAGTTTTTCGAAACCAATGAGAACAAAGATAACCCGTACCAGAATCTCTGGTACACAGCTAAAGCAGTGTTAAGAGGGAAATTTATAGCACTAAATGCCCACATCAGAAAGCTAGAATGATCTGAAATCAACATACAAACATCACAATTAAAAGAACTAGAGAAGCAAGAGCAAACAAATTCAAAAGCTAGCAGCAGACAAGAAATAACTAAGATCAGAGCAGAACTGAAGGAGAAAGAGAAATGAAAAACCCTTGAAAAAAATCAATGAATCCAGGGGCTGTTTCTTTTTTTCAAAAAATTAACAAAATAGATAGACTGCTAGCTAGACTAATACAGAAGAAAAGAATCAAATAGACACCATAAAAAATGATAAAGGAGATATCACCACTGATCTCACAGAAATAGAAACTACCATCAGAGAATACTATAAATACCCCTCTGCAAATAAACTAGAAAATCTAGAAGATATGGATAAATTCCTGGACACATACAACCTCCCAAGGATAAACCATGAAGAAATCAAATCCCTGACTAGGCCTGACTAGATAACAAGATCTGAAATTGAGGCAGTAATTAATAGCCTACCAACCAAAAAAAACCTGGGACCAGACAGATTCACAGTCAAATTCCATCAGAGGTACAAAGATGAGCTGGTGCCATTCCTTCCTGAAACTATTCCAAACAATAGAAAAAGTGACTCCTCCTTAACTCATTTTCTGAGGCCAGCCTCATCCTGATACCAAAACCTAGCAGAGACACAACTACAACAACAACAACAACAACAACAAGGACAAAGAAAATTTCAAGCCAGTATCCTTGATGAACATTGATGCGAAAATCCCCAATAAAATACTGGCAAACCAAATCCAGCAGCACATCAAAAAGCTTATCCACCACGATCAAGTCGGCTTCATCCCTGGGAGGCAAGGCTGGTTCAACATACGCAAATCAATAAACATAATCTATCACATAAACAGAATCAATGACAAAAAATACATGATCATCTCAATAGATGCAGAAAAGGCCTTTGATAAAAGGCCTCAACATCCCTTCATACTAAAACCTCTCAATACACTAGACATTGATAAAACATATCTCAAAATAATAAGAGCTTTTTATGACAAACGCATATCCAATATTATACTGAATGGGGAAAACCTGGAAGCATTTCTTTTGAAAACTGGCACGAGAAAAGGATTCTCTCTCTCACCACTCCTATTCAACATAGTATTGGAAGATCTGGCCAAGGCAATCAGGCAATAAAAGAAATAAAAGGTATTCAAATAGGAAGAGAAGAAGTCAAATTGTCTCTGTTTGCAGATGACATGAGTGTATATATAGAACACCCTGTTGTGTCAGCCCCAAAACTCCTTAAGCTGATAAGTAACTTCAGCAAAGTCTCAGGATATAAAATTAATGTGCAAAAATCACAAGCATTCCTATACTGTCCAAAGTAATTTATAGATTCAATGCTATTCACATCAAGTTACCATAGACTTTCTTTGCAGAATTAGAAAAAAATTATTTTACGTTTCATATGGAACCAAAAAAGAGCCTGTATAGCCAAGACAATCCTAAGCAAAAAGAACAAAGCTGGAGGCATAATGCTACCTGACTTCAAACGATACTACAAGGCTACAGTAACCAAAACAGCATGGTAATGTTATCAAAACAGACATATAGACCAACGGAACAGAACAGAGGACTCAGAAATAACACCACACATCTACAACCATCTGATCTTTGACAAATCTGACAAAAACAAGCAATGGGGAAAGGATTCCCTATTTAATAAATGGTGCTGGGAAAACTGGCTAACCATATGCAGAAAACTGAAACTGTACTCCTTACTTACACCTTATACACAAATTAACTCAAGATGCATTAAAGACTTAAATGTAAACCCTAAAACCATAAAAATGCTAGAAGAAAACCTAGTCAATACCATTCTGGACGTAGGCCTGGGCAAAGACTTCAGGACTAAAACACCAAAAGCAATTGCAACAAGCCAAAATTGAGAAACGGGATCTAATTAAACTAAACTGCTTCTGGACAGCAAAAGAAACTATCATCAGAGTGAACACACAACCTATGAATAGGGGAAATTTTTGCAACCTATCCATCTGATAAAGGTCTAATATCCAGAATCAACAGAAACTTAAACAAGTTTACAAGAAAAAAACAAAAGCCCTATCAAAAAGTGGGCAAAGGATATGAACAGACACCTCTCAAAAGAAGACATTTATGTGGCAAACAAACATATGAAAAAAGCTCATCATCACTGGTTATCAGAGAAACGCAAATCAAAACCACAATGAGATACCACTGCATGCCAGTTAGAATGGCAATCATTAAAAAATCAGGAAACAACAGATGCTGGCGAGGCTGTGGAGAATAAGAACGCTTTTACACCATTGGTGGGAGTGTAAATTAGTTCAACCATTGTGGAAGACAGCGTGGCAATTCCTCAAGGATCTAGAACAAGAAGTACCATTTGACCCAGCAATCCCATTACTAAGTATATACCCAAAGGATTATAAATCATTCTACTATAAGGACACATGCACACGTTATGTTTATTGCTGCACTATTTACGATAGCAAAGACTTGGAACCAACCCAAATGTCCATCAATGATAGGTTGGATGAAGAAAATGTGGCACATATACACCATGGAATACTATGCAGCCATAAAAAAGAATGAGTTCGGCCAGGCTTGGTGGCTCACACCTGTAATCTCAGCACTTTGGGAGGCTGAGGCAGGCAGATCACGAGGTCAGGAGGTCGAGACCATCCTGGCTAACACAGTGAAACCCCGTCTCTACTAAAAATACAAAAAATTAGCTGGGCGTGGTGGTGGGCGCCTGTAGTCCCAGCGACTCGGGAGGCTGAGGCAGGAGAATGGCGTGAACCTGGGAGGTGGAGCTTGCAGTGAGCCTAGATAGTGCCACTGCACTCCAGCCTGGGCGAAAGAGCGAGACTCTGTCTCAAAAAAAAAAAAAAAAGAATGAGTTCATGTCCTTTGCAGGAACATTGTTGAAGCTGGAAACCATCATCCTCAGCAAACTAACACAGGAACAGAAAACCAAATACCGCATGTTCTCATTTACAAGTGGAAGTACAACAATGAGAACACGTGGACACAGGGAGGGGAACATCACACATGGCGGCATGTCAGGGGGTGGGAGCAAGGGGAGGGACAGCATTAGGACAAATATCTAATGCATGCAGGGCTTAAAACCTAGATGATGGGTTGATGGGTGCAGCAAAACATCATGGCTCATGTATACCTATGTAACAAATGTTTACATTCAGCACATGTATCCCAGAACTTAAAGTACAATTTAAAAAAATGAAAAGAAAAAAATGAAGTTACCTTGATGAATAGCAAGCTTCTCATTTATTGAACTCTCAGTAGCATATTATAAATCCTCTCGGAAGAGAATTTTTAGTTAAATGTGTGCATTAAAATACTTTTGTTAAGAAGACAAAAGAATTATCTATACAAAGTGTATTTTGTTATATGACTCAGGACCCAGAGGTATCCAATGAGTAAATTGGAGATAAAGATAAACATAGCATAAGAGGAGAAACATACTGTAAACAGAAAGTAAATACATCTTCCTCTCATCTAGTGGATGAGAGAAGAATGCCAGAAAGGAAGCACAGCCTCTGCAGGAGCTACAGACTGACATCTCATAACAGATTCTCCTTAGAAAAATTAAAATGGTTGGTGTGGTAAGAAAGTCACCAGGTTTAAAGTCATTAAAATTCTGGGTCTGAGCAGGTGTATTAAACTCTAGAGTCTCATAGTATTCATTTGTACAATTTTGCATTTAATATCCACCTCAGGGCATTATTGGAAAAAATAAAAGAGATAATTTATATTTGGAAAAACATTACAGGCCTCAAATGCATTGTTTTAGATTTTTGTGAATTGTTAGTTTAAATCATAAGCTTAAAGTACTTAAAGTGAAATTTTCCATGAATAATTGATTGATCCAATATTTTTTGAGATTGCAAAACTCTGGAATGCTATTAAAGAAAATTGGAAGTTGTTTGCATGTCATTTACCTAAAATTTTAAATTAAAATCACATTTATTTTACGTCTTCACTATGAAATTCAATTAAGACTCTTTTTGTTAACTAAAGACGGATATATATTCATTTGTTTTAAAGTTATCATCCAAGAACTGTTGAGTTCAAAATTATATAAGACTTACAATTTACTTGGTAGATGAATGTGTTTATCCCCTTAAAATGGCAAACCTATGTTATAGCAGATTATAAAAATAACGGCTCATTATGAATGTAACATTCTTATTATAACTAATGCCCCAGAAGTTACAAATATATGCACAATATTGATTCTCTTCAATTAAGAACAAATAAAAGGCTTTTTATTAACTAGTTTTATAAAAGTGTAAATAATTGAAATATACAAAAAGATTAAGATAATACTACTTTTCCTTGACTTACATAAAACAGGGTTTTATATGGAAATATGTGCAATATTTTTAAAATTTTAATTCCTTCACTTCCCTGATTTTATAATCTCATTCAAGACTTGAAGTACATTTACACTATACACTGAAAGCAATAATGAAAACAACATAAAATAATAAATATGTCCCCATTTAGGAAAAAAATCTGAAAACAAAGAAAACTATTGCTAATTTTTAAGTTAATTTTCAAGTCTAAGGTCCTACTCTTATTAGATTTCGAAGCAGAGTGTTTTCAAACCATAAGTCTTCTACAACAGATAAGAATTCTAGCTTTTCTCTAAGATTTTCTTCATTGTAAATGGTTTATATGAATCCTTTGAACACTGTGATAGGCAGAATAATTCCTCCCTACTCCAACGGTGTCTGCATCCTACTCATCAAAACCTGAGGAAATGTTACTTTACATGGCAAAGGGTCTCTGGGTGTGAAGAAGGTTAAAGATCTCGAGATGGGAAGATTATCTGGGTTTATCCAGGTTGGCCAATCTAATCACATGAATCCTCCAAAGGGAAAAACATTTTCTGGTTTAAGTCAGAGGAAGATCCAACATATCTGGCTTTGAAGATGACTGAAGCGGGCCGTATGGCAAGTGATATGGTTTGGATATTGGCTCCTGCAAATTTCATGCTGAACTGTGATCACAATATTGGAGGCAGAGCCTAGTGGGAGGGCAGTTGGATCATGGGGGGAAGCCCTCATGAATGGTTCAGCACCATCCCTTTGGTAATAAATGTGTTTTTGCTCAGTTAGTTCATGCAAGGTCTGGTTGTTTGGAGGAGTTTTGGAATTCTCTCTTCTCTCTCTTGCTCCCTCTCTCGCCAAGTAACATGCTCATTCCCCTTTACCTTCAGGCATGATTGGAAGCTTCTTGAGGCCCTCACCAGAAGCAGATGCTGGCACTATGCTTCATGCACAGCCTGCAGAACTGTGAGCCCAAATAAACCTTTTTTTCTTTATAAATTACCCGGCCTCAGGTATTTCCTTATAGTAATGCAAGAACAGTCTAATATATTAAAGACGTGGGTGCTTATAGAAATTGAAAAGGGAAGGAAACTGATTTCCTCCTACAGCCTTCAGAAGAACTGTGGCCTGGCTGACACCTTGATGTGTCACTATACAGTGAAGCCTGTATAGGACTTCTGTATCTGTAAAATAATAATTTTTATGCCATTAAATGTGTAGTGATTTCTTATGTCATCAATAGAAAACTCATAAAAGCACCTATAGGTACTACATATCTATGTTCATATTTTCTTATTGCCTCTCCTTTCATATGCTCTCCATGTTGCTAACTGAAGCTATCAAACCACTTAGCAGAGCTTCTTAACCTTTAACTCCAGGCAATTGGAACTCTCTGTACTTTTTACTTCATATATGAATCCAGCTGCTTCCCTTAACTTCCTACAAGTTTTGTAAGGTCATATTGTATATTTAAAACATTGTATAAATTTCTGAAACAATAAAAAAAAGAAAGCTGAGCATAGCTGCCTGTCCTATTATCCCACAAACATATGCCAGTCAGGATTTCATTAGGAAAGCAGAACCACCATTGATGATAAGGAAGAAAGCATATTTTATAGAGATTAAGCTTTGTACGAAAGAAAAGATAGGCAAAGAAAAGCATGGCAGATTGTTGCTGCTGAAGTTGCAATAAGCCCGCACAGCTGCCAGTTGGAAAGAAAAGCTGGACATGAATTGGAGAGAGCAAAAACAACCTGAAACCCACATTGGTTTCTAGCTGCCTCTAATGTCGATGGAATGAGTGAACTGTTCCTGACTTCTATCACATAGCTGAACATACATATCACTTAGAAACTGGTATATCAGAGATGTCTGTGAGCTTCAGTGGCATTCTGTGCCCACATCAACCCTGATGGCATAATGGATGCTAATTCCTTCTACTTTCCAAGACCTGCACATATTTCTTTTGTTGCCATTTCTAAACCAGAACTATTCAGTCAAGGGAATTTGGGAGAATGTAGTTTTGCTAAGATGACAGAGTACAAGCCATCAAACGGCCCTAAAATCTTAGGCTTATATCTTTATTAGTTTGAACAAGTTTTTATATGTGAGGGCTAGCTCATGCCCCTAATTAGAAATGTCCAGGGGCTAGCCCTCATGCCCCTTAGACATATTTTGCTTTATGTGCAGCACTCACTTTCTAGAAGTAAAACGTCCTTTCTTCCTTCAATCTGAGTTCCAGCAGGAGTAGGAGTAAAAAATGACAGTGCTAACAGTCATGAAGCAAGGAGAAATATATTACGAATACATCAGTGAACATTCTTATATCCAGCTATTGGATGTGGTTAAACTCCAGGCCCCAAAATACAGTAACCCTAAAATTTTAGAATAAATTGTTAGAAGTTTGAGTTTTTCAAAATTAAGGTAAATTTATGTGAATGAAAACAGTAGTCTAGTCCAAATCTATTTTGGAGAGAAATATACTTCTAATGTTTCATATCAGAAATTGCATATAAACACAATTTACTATATTAAAAACGATTAGTTCAGTTTTCAGGTTCCAGATTGTCTTTGCACTGTTTTTCAAATAATAAAACACTGTGCTTTTGGCTTCTAAAGTGTAATTTTACCAAAACAAAGTCACTTCCAAAGCTAGTAAAGTCACTTCCAAAGCTAGTAAATCTCTTTTCCCCCATAAAAATCCACTTTGACAACAATAATATATAAAATAAAACAAAACAAAACAAAACAAAACAACTTCTCCTTACTGGGCACCTTGTTAGAGAAAATAAATATATTCCAGGGTTTTTCATGAATTTATAAGACCCCTTAAAATTAGGCCTAAAAATCGAAGGAAATAAAAGGTGTATAGCACAGTCTATTTATTCTACATTCATTCTGTGACTTAGAAAAAAAATAAATAAAAAGTTAGCACATTTATACTTTTACACACTGAGAGCTTTCTGAGAATGTTTTTGTTTTTTATTTGCCTACTGGTTATCTAGACTTTTTAAGTGCATGCATTTTATTTTAATTGGTATAATAAAATTAGAAAGAAAGACTAGATTAATTTACATTTTAAAAAACACAGGACTCTTCTAGAGCACACAAAATGGATAATGAATCAGGAAGAGACTAAGTTATATAGAGAAAAATATAGCATAAGTTAGAGTTTAACCCAGAGAGAAACGATTAGTATCAACACGTATGCTTTGTGGGAATTCGGAACAAGATAGAAAATATTATATTTGGAAAGCTTTGCTGTGTGTTGTGTGGAATTTCTGCTTCATCCTTGCCTTTAAGAGACTTCACCAAAGACATAAATTTCAAGACTTGTTGTACTTAGTTTTATATTTGGTTGAGGTTATAATATCATACTGAAATTAGGCATGAAGCAGTCCATTGTTAGGCACATTAACATCTAATATTATTATTTCACTTAATATGTATGTATTGAGCATCTTTTTGCTGTCATTGCTTGTGGGTAAGCATTTCTCCTTCTTCCAAAAAAAAAAAAAAACAGGTAGACAAAATAATTATTAGGATTCAAATCTACAAATATCTTAATAAAGATATACCAAAGTTGCTGTGGTAGCAAATATAAACAGGAAAGTCAACGTTTAAGAAGATACTATATTAGTTAAGTGACAATTCATTAAAGTATGTTTTGCTTTCAAAAATAACATTATTGCAGTACCAAGATACTTATAAGTAGAAACATAGAAGTATGAGCATGTGCGATTTGAAATGAATAAAATAAATGAGAATCACACAATTTTTTAAAAAAAATGTGTGACCAGCAGCCTCTGGCATACTTTTCTCAATTTGCCTTGAAAATAATTATTAAAATATGCACAAAAGTGTATGGTGTGTGTGAGTGTCTGCGTGTGTGTATGTGTGTGCACATGTGTGTGCTGAGAGGAAAATGCCTTAGACATATAGATAAAAGGTTACAGATACAAATATTACTCATTTTGGCAGGCCTTGCATGTCTTCTTGATAAAATAGTCTATGGAATCTATTACACAGATTTATTTATTTCACATTTCTTCTTGGCGGACAAATAGAGGGCTTTGAAATTAGATATGACTGGATTCACATATCATTTCAGCCACATAACTGATTATGAAATCCTGAGTAAAATAGTAAATCCTTCTGAGGCTCACTTATTTTACAAAAAATAATTAGTAAGCCACAGGCAATATTTCTCTTAATACAAATTCCCATCAATTGAAAAGTAACCAGAATTGTATATCCCATTAAGAAAGAAAAAAAAAGCTGTTGTCAGTTGTAATTTTAATTTGCATCCTGAGCTGAGCATCAATAAAATGTTATAATATAAATATAACACTTGTTAAAATACAGCCACTCAATAGATTTTGTCTCTGATGATGTTTGCAATTTATATTACAGGGAAAAAAAGAAAGCAAGAACCTAACAAATAAGTGTATAATTTTACCTTCCTGTCCTATTCTTATCCTAGGTTTATGCATATTTCCATAGCTGTTATGATAATAATAGTGTCAGTTTAAAAATTATATTTAATATATCATAAGAATTTTCCTCATTCTGCAGTCTTCAGAACTGTTTTTTAATTACATATATATTGAATTTATTTAAAAGTACATTTTTTCATGTATCTTTGTGTTCCAAATTTTAGCTATTATCAATTATATTGGCATGAATATATTTGCTGATTTTGTTACTCTGCTTATTATATTTCCCATTGTAAATGTTAATACAGTGAAATTAGTGGATCAAGGCGTAGAGACACTTGAGAGCTCTTAAAATATATTGCTCCAAGTTGTTATGAAAAACTTATTGTAAGCCTATTATTAGTGCAAAATTAAAAAAATTATATATGCAAATGTAAAATGGCTTTATTGTATTGATTTAGTACTTTCACTAATAAAATTTGTATCTTTTCACCACAATACTATAAAAGTATGCAATATTTTAAATTTAATGTCCTAGTATTGATACAGTTTTAATTTTTAATTTTTGATAACTAGTCACTTTAATCTTTTCTTCCATGCTCACTAAAAATGCATAAATCCTTATTTTTGGAATTGTTTAAATAACAGCATTTTTACCTTGCTATTTGAAAGTCTAATCTTATTATGCCAAATATTGAAACTCTTGTTTATATTGAGACATACAAAATTTTGATTTTATTTACATATGTTAAAAATTGCCTGCGAGAATGAGTTCTGTTGTATTTTGTTTACCAATTCAATTTCTCAGAGAACTTTCTCATTATGTCATTTATAAGAAGAAAGACAAATATTCCATAAAAACCCTAGAGGAAAACCTAGGCAATACCATTCAGGACATAGGCATGGGCAAGGACTTCATGTCTAAAACACCAAAAGCAATGGCAACAAAAGCCAAAATTGACAAATGGGATCTAATTAAACTAAAGAGCTTCTGCACAGCAAAAGAAACTACCATCAGAGTGAACAGGCAACCTACAAAATGGGAGAAAATTTTTTCAATCTACTCATCTGACAAAGGACTAATATCCAGAATCTACAATGAACTCAAACAAATTTACAAGAAAAAAACAAACAACCCCATCAAAAAGTGGGTGAAGGATATGAACAGACACTTCTCAAAAGAAGACATTTATGTAGCCAAAAAACACATGAAAAAATGCTCATCATCACTGGCCATCAGAGAAATGCAAATCAAAACCACAATGAGATACCATCTCACACCAGTTAGAATGGCGATCATTAAAAAGTCAGGAAACAACAGGTGCTGGAGAAGATGTGGAGAAATAGGAACACTTTTACACTGTTGGTGGGACTGTAAACTAGTTCAACCATTGTGGAAGTCAGTGTGGCGATTCCTCAGGGGTCTAGAACTAGAAATACCATTTGACCCAGCCATCCCATTACTGGGTATATACCCAAAGGATTATAAATCATGCTGCTATAAAGACACATGCACACGTATATTTATTGCGGCACTATTCACAACAGTGAAGACTTGGAACCAACCCAAATGTCCAACAATGATAGACTGGATTAAGGAAATGTGGCACATATACACCACGGAATACTATGCAGCCATAAAAAAATGATGAGTTCATGTCCTTTGTAGGGACATGGATGAAGCTGGAAACCATCATTCTCAGCAAACTATCACAAGGACAAAAAACCAAACACTGCATGTTCTCACTCATAGGTGGGAATTGAACAATAAGAACACATGGACACAGGAAGGGGAACATCACACACTGGGGCATGTTTGGGGTGGGGGGAGGGGGAAGGGATAGCCTTAGGAGATATACCTAATGCTAAATGATGAGTTAATGGGTGCAGCACACCAACATGGCACATGTATACATATGTAACTAACCTGCACATTGTGCACATATACCCTAAAACTTGAAGTATAATAATAATAAAATTAAAAAAAAAAGAAAGACAAATATTCAAAAGACAATATGCTAGGCACAGTGGCTCACACCTGAAGCTGAGGTGGTAGTATCACATGAGACAGGAGTCAAACAAAACAAAACAAAACAAAACAAAACCAAGATAATATTTGGCAGCTCTGTTTTCTGAACCATCTTAACATCACAGGAAGGCAATATATTTTTTCCTTCTGATTTTATTTGGACACTTGAAACTCAGTGACTTATTTCAAGTCATGGAGCTTGCTAAATGCTAATGATGAAATGTAAACTAGAAAATAAATGAAGATTTAAAATGTATTGAGGTAAAAGTACATATATAATAATTTTAACATCGGCAAAGCTTATAAAGTACAGAATGTAGTTAGCTAAGAATTCTGGATCCTGATTACATGAAGCCAATTTGAGAACTTACACTTTGAAGCCACAAAACAAGTAGAGATAAACTAACATGTAGCAGGCAAGTAGATAACAATTCTATGTAATAAGATACATGGATAAGTTTTATTGATAATTTAAAAAATTCTTTTACACGTCCGATGTATATTTAGTATTACTGAGAGGATTTGTAAACACATTATTGGGAAATGATGTTACTAAATATAATATCACTATGTAGAATATGTCTCACATGGTTTCCTGTAAAGTTCATAGTGAAGCGTAATATACATACAGAATAATACACATATAAAGGTATAGAACTTGAATATTTCTACCTCTCAAAGTGATTTTTAGCTTTTATTAAAACTAGAGGTAACTCTATGCTTGAAGGTAGGCAGAAGTATTTGGCACCAAGAGACAGAGAGGATTCAAATGTGTTTAATTTGCTTTGAATTGTTTTGTATTTGTTACTCTGCACAACTATTTTTTACTCAAATAACAATAAGCAATGTTAGATTTTACCTCACTGATATAAGACCTCTCTTTCTCAGATTTTTCCTTCTCCTTCTCCTCCACTTCCTCTTCCTTTTCCCTTAGTCTACATGTTTAATCTTCCACCTTTATAGGAGAGAACATAGACTGATGTTAAGGTACAAATTAAATATGGAGAGTCAATAGGTAAAACTCATTCCAAGGAGGACAAATTTGGGTTTGAAAATTTCAATTTCTTAGTCCAGCCTATGTTTTCAATCACAATCACATTGATCGTGGAGTGTGCATATGTATTTGCACTTGTGTGTTTGTGTGTGTATGTACATGTGTGTGCACACATGCACTTGTGTCTTTCCATTATGAAAGGAAATGCTGGTGCTCTGGGATACATAGTACTAAACACCAGTTTGTTTTCTGCCCTCTCTACTCACATCAGAGTAGAACATGAGTTTGTAAAACCAAATCCTCCTCGTAAGGAGTAGGAAGAAGTATCCTTTTCCTATGCCAGGTATGTTTAAGACCACAGATAATATTCATTAGTACATATGTGCATCAATAAACATAATTAGTACAATTTGTCAGAGAATTCTCAAAAGCAGACTAAAAGAGCAAAGCCCTGTGACATGAACTTATAGGACTCATGTCATTTTTTACATCCTTTACATGGAGTCTGTATATTACTAGAGGAGTTTTTCCCACTGTAAATTTTAAATCAATTCAAATTAGGGTAAAGATTCTGGAAACTTCTGCAGTATATGTTTCTATAATTCAAAAGATATTATTTGCCAGCTCAGTTTTCTCGGTTTTCAAAAATTGTGACGGAAATGACTACCATTTAGGATGCTTATGTTTTTTTCTAGGTATGATTTTATGATGGTGATTTGTTTTCTGAGATGCAGATGAAAATATACAAAATATGCATGGCTTAAATGACTAAATTGTTGTGGAGATAAACGTAATATTTGTTATATTTAATAATGTTTCCTCCATGATTATTATTAAAACAGATATATTAAAAACTGCTAAAATTTCAAGCAGACAAGAGAGTAAAAACACATTCAGTCAGGGACCACTGAACTATTCTAAAAAGCAAAGGCAAAATGAAAGGTACTAGTCAATATATGGGAAATAGGAGCAAATTATTTTCCTAAACTTTCCAAGGGATTGAGAAAAATAAAGATCCAATTCCTTCAATAATGGAAATAAAGACCTGATTCCTTCAATAATCCTCATCTAGATTTTAAAAATATAAACTTGATAGGAGATATATTAAGGTTAGATAAATGTGCTCAAACTTCATATGCAACATATAATACAACAAGTGTTTACTAATACCTGCTTGATCAAGTCTTACAAATGTGAACAACAGCAAATTGCAGAGAAGGCTTCTATTCCAATAAATAATTGGATCAATATTACCTGCCGAAAGTATGATGAAATTTAATGTTCATGATCTCAAATATTCTGAAATATAAACATATTCTACTGTACTTTTTTCAAGTATTTTATTTAAAATACATTAATATGTTTTATTTTTGAAATTTCTATGTATTGGCTTTGATCTGACTTGTAGTAATGCCCCTAAAGTCAGGATTATCACAGTGTTATAAATAATGCATATTTCCAATCTCTCTTTTGTCAGAAAATTAAACCAAACAGGGACTAAACAGACTAAGATGAAAGACACTTTATATGTTGACTCCTTCTATCTGAGTTATCCTGAGTCACTGCCGTAAGTTGAATGTGTGCCCCCAAGTGCATGTGTTGGAAACGTAATCCCCAAAGCAACACTATTGAGAAGTGAGGCCTATGAGAGATGGTTGTATCATAAGGGATCTGCTTTCATGAATGGATTCATGTATCTCAGGAGGGAGTTCATTACTGTGAGAGTGGGTTTGCTTAAAAGCAATTCTGCCCTCTCCTTCTCTCACATGCTCTCTCAGCATGTGATGCCTTCCATCATGTTATGTTGCAGCAGAAAGCCCTCACCACATGTAGCCCCTAGATCCTGGACTTCCTAGACTCAGAACTACAAGAAATAAATCTATGTTCTTTATAAATGACCCAGTTTTAGATATTCTGTTACAGCAGTACAAAACAAACTAAGACAACCCTTAGTATGTGTTTGCTGAATATATACATTTTCTGTCTTATGAGGAGCAAAGATGACCCTCACCACAAAGTTTCTGATGTATGTGTGTTCTGCAGTCAAAATGTTTTGTTAATTTTTTTAAAATTTTCTTCTCTAAAATGACAAACTCTTTTAAAACATGTTTGTAATTATTACTATTTGTGTATTGACTTCCTCTATATAATAGCCAAAATGTTTCTCTTGGTTTACCTGGTATCACATGTGGCTGACAAGAAGTTTACCAAATATATGTTGAATCAATGGATAGATAAATAAAACTGATCTGAAAACATACAATAGTAAGTTCTAGTCATGAGAGATACAACTGTCAGAACTAAGGATTGATATCAAAATAATAATTAGAATAGGATTGCTGGCTAAACTTAGTGTCCTTTAAATCTTTTCCAACACATGAATGATTTTCAAAATTAGGAACACACTCATACAATACACATGCACACACAAAATTGTCAATATAGTGCTTTTATTCCTATTCTGATGAATGATAAATCTAAGGAATCAGCTAATTGAAAGAATATGAATGATAAAAAAGGATAAATTGGGAAGCTACGAATAATGTAAATACAAACCCTGGCTCAAAACATCTAGAGAATGAATAATGTCTTTAAGATCAAAAGACTCAAAAGTAACATTTAAAGGAAACAAAATGGTTGAACACAGACTCAAATGTAAGATTTCAGAATTTCAATGTTTATAAATGTGGAAGCTGCTTCATCTTTAAAGGAAACAAAAATCCTAAGAATGTTACTTGATGTGAAATGGGGTTTGATACCCTATCTTAATCATTGTTTGGTTTCCCTCTTTGCCAACAGCAACCAAGCAAGGGAAGAAACCTGTGTCCCGTCAAAGAATTCTAGATCTCATTCAGGTGTGAAGAAACTCAGTCCAATGTAAATCATACTTTTATCTCACATCTCACTTAAATATTCACATTTCTTCCTCTGCTATGGACTGGCCCAGGCTCCTGAATTTATGGTGATAATAAATATCAAATGACCTGTCCTTTTGTCTTGTTCATTCATTCCTTTCCCCCTACTGTTCTAGTTTCTTCTGGTTCCCCCAAGGACAGGATAGAACAGAGAGGGAAAAGGGAAAAACGAGATCCCATTTGACAAGTGACTTGAACAGTGAACAAGTCTTGAACAGTGTTCTCCACATAACGCTCCCACCCAAGATGCTGTCTCTTTCTCTCACAAGATGTTTGTTGGTTCCTCAGAGTCTTGGCAGGTGATACTAAGTGAATAACTGCACCATTTCATAAAGTGGGAAAAACATTTTCTGGATATCCTCTTGTGATACTTCTTCAATTCCGCCTCTAATAGCACAAATCACAGAAACATTTTCTTCATGGTTTCTTCACCAATCAGGCAGCCCTTTTGCTGGGTCCTGTCAAGATGGCTCAGCCTGACTTCCTTCTCTGGTGTCCATTAAGGTCATTGCAAAATTGGTAAAATTCTGAAGAGAGGTACGGCTCGTTCCTGGTTACTCGTTTAACCTAGTATCCTCAGCAGCATTAGACAGCTTCTCATCTATAGGATTTTTCTTACTGAGAGTCACTCATAGTAGCTTCCAAAGCCTAGGGTGCATGAATAACAGTCTTAAAACACTCTCAGCTAGTAAATTATTATGGTGTACAGGTTTCTACAGCTCAACATTTGTGCAGAGACAAGAACCCAATCCCATTTGCTAGACAAATCCAATCTTTTTGAATTAAACAAACTCTTAAACTCATCTTTTTGAGTTAAACAAACTCTTGAAGTGAACCATCACTATATTTCTACCATGGAGAGAAGATATTTTATGCTAAAATTCTGTGAAAAAAGAATTGACCTGCTGGTGAATCTTTAAAATCTTCCCATACTTAAAAAAAAGTGTTTTCAATTGACACATGATAATTGTATATATTTATGGGGTACAGTGTGATGTTTTGATACGTGTATATATTGTATAAAAATAAGATCAAAGTATTTAGCATATCCATTACATCATGTATTTACCATATTTTTGTCATGAGAACATTAAAAAAATTCTCTTTTCTAGCTATTTTAAAACATACAATATTGTTAACCATAGTCAACCTTACTATAAAATGAAACACCAGAATGTGTTCCTCCTATCTAACAATTGTTTTGTATACATTAACCAATCTCCATATCCTTCCTATTACCCTCCCAAGATGCTAGTAATTATTATAATACTGTCTACTTCTATGGGATACACATCTTCAGATTCCACATATGAGTGAGATCATGCAGTATTTTTCTGTGCCTGGCTTATTTCACTTAATATAATGTCCTCTGGTTTCATCCATGTTGCTGCAAATGACAACATTTTCTCCTTTTTTATGGCTAAAGTATTTTGTTTATATGTGGAAATGTGGCATATATAACCACATTTTCTATAACATTCATATATTGAGGGACACTTAGGTGGATTCCATATCTTGCTTATTGTAAATAGTGCTGCAATAGAAATGAGAGTGCAGATATCTCTTTGACATACTGATTTTCTTTCCTTGTGCAACAACCCAAAAGATTGTGAATAGCAAAAGCAATCTTTTGTAAAATAAACAAAGCTGGAGGCATCACACTACCTGACTTCAAAGAATACTACAAAGCTATAGTAATCAAAATAGCATGGTACTGGCATAAAAATAGACACATAGACCAATGCAATAGGATAGAGAACACAGAAATACATCTGAGGTAGGAGGCAGGACTCCATTCAAAGGTGGGGCTCTGACATTGGATCAAACTGAGGACTAGCTGAAACAGGTCCAGAACAGAAACATTTCCCCATAAGGCATGCCCGCCAGGCTATGTCACTTTGCCATTGTCATGCCAATATCCAGAAGTCCCCATCCTTTTCCATGGCAATGACCCCACAACCTGGAAATTACTACCTTTTTCCTAGAAATTTCTGCATAAACCACCCCTTAATTTTTATGTAATTAAAAGTGAGTATAACTCTCACTGCAGAACTGCCTCTGAAGTGCTACTCTGGGCACACAGCCTATGGGGTGGCCCTGCTCCACAAAGAGCAGTACTTCTGCTGCTGCTGTACAGTGACGCTTCAGTGAAAGCTGCTGTTTAACACCACCACCAGCTAGCCCTTGAATTCTTCCCTGGGAAAGGCCAAGAAACCTCCTGAACTAAGTCCCAGTATTGGGGTTTGCTTATCCTGAATCAAATCCATAACTAACTGATTTTCAACAGAGGTGCCAAGAATGTGCTATAGAGAAAAGACAGTGCCTTCAATAAATGGTATTGGGAAAACTTAATATCCACATGTGGAAGAATGAAGTTAGACTCCTATTTATCACCATGTACAAAAATCAACTCAAAATAAATTCAAGATTTAAATGTAAGACCTCAAATGAGAAAAAAAAACACTCTAGAAGAAAACACAGGAGAAATAATACATAACATGGAGAAGGATGTTTTGGATTAGACCTCAACAGCACAGGCAACAAAAGCAAAATATAGAAAAAATCAAGTTACATCCAACTAAAAAGCTTCTACACAGGAAAGGAAATAATAAACACAGTGAAAAGACAGCCTACGGGATGGGAGAAAATATTTGCAAACTATGTATCTGTCCAACAAGAACTTTAATAGTCTCCTTACTTTTGAATTACTTTTTATTTTCATCTTCTTTTTCTCCTAACCAGAAAGTGGGTGATAGGCTAAGAATCAGATAACTATCCAATGGATCCTGTGCATCACTAACCAATCTCATGAAAATATGAATATGAATGGGTACTTACCACTCACTGTCTTCAGCTTTAGGACCTCAGAAAAAAACTGTGTGATAACAGAGGTCCTCTATGCCATTCTGTTTCAATTAAATCATATAGAAATGCTTATAATAGATATGTACAGTCTTCAAACCCACTCTTCTGCTCTTTAGATTTACTTGATATACTAAATATTTTTTAAAATTTCCATTTTACTTGTTTTTATTTCCACTGTAACTTAAATAATATGCATTATGTCTTTTTTAAATTTAAAAATATCTATTGCTTCTCAGTATGGAAAAAGTAGGATTTTTAAGATGCAACATGCCGTCTTTATTTCTACTTCATTAGGTACATTTTCCTTGTGAAATGACTATTAGTTCACTCATATATTGATTTTTTTCAGTAAATATTTTTAATTTTAAGAGCTTTTTATTGCCCTCTGATTAAGTTATTCTTTTTCTTGTTAATCTGATTTTTTGAAGGCAATATCTTAGAAAATTTAATTTGGTTTTCTAAAGGTCATTTTTAATAGATGATCTTTATATTCTCTTAGATGTTACTGCTTTTACTAATATATTAAATAATGATAGCCTATGCTGAGTGTTGTGGCTAAATCTTATAGATTTCCTTTTCTTCTGTGTATTTTATCTTTCCCCACCATAGATCTCTGACTGAAGAGAAGTCTAGCTAGGGCCATCTTGCATATTGGTTTAATCTCATTTAATCTCAGCTCTTTTTCAAGTGTTTTGATGGGGAGATGGTCTTTTGCTAGAGTACTTACTTTTTATCAGAAACACCACTTCTCTCTTGGCAACACTTTCAAATTATTAATACCTTTGGGGTTTTGACTGGGTTAAATGCAAATGCCAGGCTGCCTTTCACTCTACATTGAAGTGTTGAGGAGGGGTGTGGGCAAAGAAGAGAACAGACATGTAACTACTGAGTCTACATGAGTTCTTAGTCAGATTGGCTCCCACCTCAACCACAGCACCTTCATGTGCGTGAAATCATCTTTTGTGTCTTCTCTTTTCCATTAAGCAAAAGCCCTCATATTTCTCTGTCTTTTGTAAATTTTGGGAATCACTAATCTATTGTTATGCCTCTTACGCATTTTTCTGTTACAGTAAGTTTATTATCATTTTTAATTCCATGCTGTCAAATCAGTTGACTCTTGGGATGAAGAATAATAAAGCATGGGTGCTCAGGTCACTCTCATGGTGCTCATTCTTCCTTGCCTCCATGTCCTAGAGATGTAAGAAGGGGTCAGCTTTCTTTCTGCTCAAACCACTTTCAGATCCATAACCTTACACCCTTGGGTAACGTTCAAGAAATGCTGTTCATCTGAAATCAGCCAAGCTTATTTTCTGATCACAACCTTTTATCCTTCCATTTGTCTTCTATATTGTATCAAATACACTGTTTACCTTTTACAGAATTATGACTGCTTTGAGTCTTGCTTACTTAAAAATGTATTCATATCTTCCCTTCCATCTGTACCTAATTTCAACTTCAGGTTTATTTCACTTGATCTATTTTTATGTCAGTATTGGAATGTCCCCTGCTCTCTTGTCTCTGACCTCACATTTTTTCCTCATATTTGCCTGAGAAAATACCAATTCAAAACAAGCCAGTGATTTCCTTTTCTGTGCTCGTAGAGAGGCTGCTGACTCTCAACACACACACACATTAATATAAAGATATCTCTACAAACTTGTAGGCTCACATCATAGCCAATCACTCCGTGATAAGGAATTATAATTGTTATTATTTCTATTTAACTGTCTCCTCTTCTACATAGTAGTCATGTCTGTATTTTCTACTCTCTTCAGATATGCTAAGCCACTATGTTGACCTTCACCCAGCAGATAACTTCATCCCCTAAATAATGAGAAAATGGAATTCCTCGCCTTATTACAATGAAACATCATACACTATATGTCTGTGTCCTTTTTTCCAGTAATGAAAATAAAGATGCATGTAAAGAATAATTGGTTAAATTGTGGTAATGAACATCTCTTGATTCTTAGTCACTTAAAACAATAAAGTAGGCTAAGTTTCTATATCCTTCATGTTTTTTTTTCTTTTCCTAGATGCAATTCTGAAGCATGATTATTTATTTGCTACTTTGGGCCTGTAACTTAGTAGCAGATACCTTGTAAGCATCTGAAACAATAGACTTTGGAAAAAAAGTGGAATTTATTTAACATTTCATCCAACTGAAAAAAAATTAACAGGATGTGTTTTTATTTTTTTAATTCAACACCTTTTATCACCTCATTATTTGCCAGTTAGTTTTTAGAGTGCATTTTTTAAAACAGAATTTCTGGTCAATCTACTTAATTCCATTTCTATTAACAAACAGTTTGCCCTAGCTTGTCTTTCTGTAATTCATGGGAAGCAATTAATATGTATTAACATTATAGCTTTCAGTTATTTCTTCTAGAGCTACTCACATAGCAGGCACTTCATCTTTTACATTATTTTAGGGCTCAGTTTTACCATGTATTTTGTATAATACAACAGTCATCTTTTGGCCTTCCATTTTTTTAGATCTTTTTCAGGTACTACCACCTGACTTCCAAGCCAATGCTACATACATTAATGTTTTTTTATGAATGGGCTCACTACAGTAGTAAATTGTCAATTAGTTATTTTAATATGTGCTGTAGTAACAAATAAGCCTTTAAAATTCAGGTGTTTTAAAATATAAAAGTATACTGTCGACTGATCCAATAGTCCAATATGAATATTCCTGCTCTTTGGCAGGGAGGCTCTGCTCAGTCATTTGGACTCTGGAGGTGCTGCAGTCTTCCACGTGTATGTTCCTGGGTTACCTTGGAATGTGTTACCCAGACTTTTTGAAATAAGTGTGTGGGGACGTTTTTATGGGCCAGCCTTGTAAGTTGCCCACATAGATTGAATTCACATTCTGTTGATTTAAAAATCAACCATATGTCCACAAGGAACTTGGCAAACAAAGAAAAATAATCTCTGACTAGACATCTTTCCAGGAACCTTTCTCCACTATATAAGGAGGAGCTCATATTTCACAGGACAGCTAACTTTTTGCTGGAATATACAATGAATTGGTTTTAATAATTATTCCTTTGATAAATTGAAGCACAATACTAAGTATACCTAAACAAGATAGTTTGGTGGAGGAAGAGCTGCTAATCAAATAATCTATAATTTTGAGAGTAAAAGGATAGTATTTGCTGGTAGTATTTTATAGTGAAGTTGAAATATAACATCAGACGGAGCTGTCTGAACTGCTTTCACACTACAATGACAGTCAAGTAATTGTGACCGACCCTGTGTCCTACAAAGCTGAAAATACTTAATGTAAGTTTTTTTTTTACACAGAAAGTTTTTGAAACCTGTTCCAGAAGATTTGAGGATACCAATTAAATAAGAATAAACAATACTTGTTGAATACTTTCTCTTCAGTGTTAGATGAAGTAAGTGAAGTTTTCCATGACTAATTAAATAGAATTAAGATGCAAACCTAGGCAACTGACATTAGAGCCTACGTGATTAACCACATTCTAACTCACAGCCATTGATTGATTTCAAACCATTTTTATTTTGTTAATTTCCCCTTCAGAGCTGTTTATTTGAAGGAAACAAAAGTTACTTTTGTTTGTTTGTTTCTTAGTTAGTTTCATCCTGTTTTAATTCCTAAGATACTTTAGTATTATAGATGTAGCCACTATTATTATTATTATTATTTATTTAGAATAGCTTACATGTTCACTTTAATAATCAATGACTTTTTCCAAGTCCACAGTGAAAATGCTTTTGGTACTATTTTTATGAGTGAAGTTAATGATCCTTTCTTTCAGCTGCTTTTCTTCAATGTATACATCTTGACTGGCCTTTTATAGTTTATAGACTATGAAGTATTTATTTCCACCCTATTGATGAAGAACTTAGTGATGATATTACTGCCATGATACAAGAGCAAACTATCCAGAAACTTTATTGCTGATATCATTTCATAGTAATGTATGCATGCTAGTATGATTATTTCAGTCATAGAAACATGCTATCCATAGACATTTTCTGTTAATATGTTTTTAAGTAATAAAACTGCTAATAAAATTAAGCTCCATGAGCTCTTATTTTCTGTTTATGTCATTTAACTCTGAAATATTTAGTGCAGCTTAAAACAGAGATTTTGCAAATGTTTCAGATCTTACATAAAAGCTCAATAAAGTCAAAATGCTGTCTATGCTAACTAGCAAGCAATTTGTTCAGTGAGTTAGAATGCAAGTTCAAGGAAAAAAAGTTGTTCAAAGTAACTCTTCTTTGTTTTGTAAATTTCAGCCCCACTTTTTGACCTATTGTTATCCCAAATATTTGTGCTAAAGACTGGCACCATTGTAGGTTGTTTATACTCATTCTACAACTTCAGAATTCATCTGTGTTAGATTAGATTATTGTATCCCCTTCTCTAGTCATGGTTATAACACTAGTATACATCCACACCCTTAGCCTTGTGAATTTACAGTGCCTCCTACTAAAATAAGTAGGGTAAACATACTTACTTCATTAAATTTTGGGCTGTGATCTGTTTTCCGTAATGGAGAGTGAGCAGAAACAAAGCACACAGAATCTTGCTTTCAGTGTGTATGAATGATTTGGCTTGGCTTTTCAGTGCTTCTAGTCTCTGCCTGAGGGAAAAGCATGCTGTGGGTAGACATTGCCCCTTCATTTTGGATCATAGAATGAGACTACTTGGAAAAACCTAAGCCAGTGTTTCTCTACCTTGTTTTACAGTATTTCCTCCTCTCAAAGAAGACATTTTGGACATTTTTTTTTTAATTCTGAATTGCCTTCCCACTGCCCCCACACCATAAAATTTTGACTTAATAGATATACCATGTCTTTGTTTCTATACCATGGCTCTTTGGAAGACCAAAAGTTATAACTAATACTACACACATGCCAAGAACCAATTTTTATCCTCTTGGGATCAATATTGTCTGCATTGGCAATACAACTTAAACCCAACCGTAAATAAGCTGTGCCTACCCAAGACTGATAAGATCAATCAGACCACAGCTGATGTTTAGGCCCAGGATTGTGAAATAATGCTTTATTATAGGCCACTGAGATTTTAAAATTGTTTGTTCATCTGGAGTTGGCCAAAAAAATACTCCAACTAATATCTCAGCATTTATTATACGAATATTCACTTATTCACCAAGTATTTATTGAGAAACACAGTGGATACTGTAATTCTTATCCGTAAAAGGTACAAAAGACAACCAATGCCAGGATAGTCATCTGATGAATAAAGAAGGTGTTGGAGAATCACACTGACTTCAGCATCAAGTGGAGCATTTCACCTAACTAACTAAACTATACACCTTCTCATGTTAAATGAGCACTTGCATCCTTGTGCACCTCACATCTACTAGCCTACAGGAAGCTACTGGATGGTCTTTCCCACACCTATCCATCCCATTTTGTTTCTCAAAGCCACGTGACATATAATCTCTGCTCCATTAACATCAGACTTCTTACATTGTTGACTATATCATGTTAAACTGATTGTGTCTTTGGTTCCCTCTGCCTGGTATTGGAACAAATTTATTTAACTTGTCTAACTCCTATTAATCCTCTGAAAATCTAATTAGACAATTTGAAGCTTGGTTGTGATCTTCACCTCTATCCACTAGTAATAGTTTGCGTGTAGTTTTATGATTGAAATGAAAATGTTAAACTGCTTAGTTTTGATTTGTCTGCCATTTTCCCTCAACTATGATTACCTTAAGTGCAAATACCTTTTCTAATTTATTTGTTTTTGCATCTGCAGTGTACACTCTACTCCCTGGGAATAAGTATTCCCTACTTGTCTTGTTAAATGAATGAGTGGATGAGTCATTGTTAAAATAACCTAATATATCTTTCCCATCATATTATACTTTTAAAATCCTACCCCATCTACATTAAAGTCCACCTACTTTAAGTGGCTTTGCAGTTTCTCCCTGTTGGAATCAACCTCTCCTTAACTGTAATCTGAGGGCAAATTTGGGCTCTATACTAGCACTTTTTACAGGCTGACCCTATACTAAACTTACTATAGCATAATTTGTAAAAATATGCATATATCTATATGACTACATGATATATATATAATTTTATAATATATCTAATTTTTCTTATTCAAAATGGAAATTAAAAACATTACTGTCCACTGCTCCACAGTGCTTGACATAGAGCTTTTTTAATTATACAACAATCAAAGTTCAACTACATAAATATATGATTTCCATGTGGAAATTAATCATACGTTAAGTTTATATTTTAAATTTTTTATAAAATTATTTTTGACTAACTCTTTTAGAGTTTAAAAGACTGTATTATGACTTTGGAAAAAGTTCTGATTTATTTAACGTTTGTAATTTGAATCCTGCCATGTCATTGAAAATACCATACCTTTTATACATTAAGTTGAAGTTTTGGCATTGCCTATTTTCATGGTGGAAACTAGAGAACCAAGGAGATCCTTTTATTATTTCAAATGTGCTGGTTACACGAATTGTTCTCAATATTTTAATCATAGTAAATTTTTCAAAGTTGTATTCCACATACCTATAATAAGAAATTTCTTTTAGTGAACTGGAATCATCCCAAACTTGCTGAGATAGTCTAACTGATGAATTAAAGACTTTTCCTGTTGTGTGGAGTTTTTCTTGTGTCTTTGGTCTGTAAGTCAATTTGTTCATACATTTCTTACATTTGGTACTTTGAAAACAAGTGAAATTTGGTACTTTGAAAACAAGTGAATTTCTCACAGTAGGAAGCTGAGTTTTCCTGCAGTAAAGGGTCTATTCTATAACATTAGCTTTGTGAAAATTTTTTTTCTATAAGCTCAAACCATTAAATGAATAAAACATGAAGCTCATAAATAATGGTGCATTGCCCTTTAGCTAGAGTCTTCAAAACCGTTGTTTAGAAGATATTGCCATTTTTTTTTCTAATCTTTTTGGAAACCTTACTTCTGCAAATCTATCTTCTCTATATCCCCTTTCATTTCATTTCAACCATTGGTTCATTTAATTGCATTTTATTGTCATTCCATGAATCACAAATATAGTTATTGCTTTATATTAAAACTATAGAGGAAAGAAGAATCTTATTTATATTTATTAGTGTTCCATTTACCCTAGTAGTCATAGAAAAAGATGCTTTCTTAGGGAATAACTGAGAATGGTTTTGTGACCTATATGATACACTCAGTGACAAATCTCTGTCTTTTTGTTAGTGACTATTCACACTTAAATTTTAAAAGTATTTTAAAAACCATATTTTTGGCATATTATTACAATGGGAACCCATCATTCCAGATACCGATTAAACTCTAGAAGGAGATAAAAGACCCTAATTTTAATGTGTGTTTCTGCACAAAGTCTTGCTAGGCTCATCAACTCTGACAGTTTTACTAGGCTCCATTAACCATTAGTTAAATTAGCCATAACTTTTTAACATTATTGGCTTATTACTCTGTGATCCTGAGGTAACTCTAGAGTATACTAAAACTTCTTACGGATACAATATGCTTTTACCTCCCGGTGTGATATACTATTTAAATGCTGATCAATGACTGGCTTTCAGGATGCCATATAACTTCCTTGCAGGATCATATAATAATAACTAGAGAAGTTGGTAAAAAATTAATTATTTTGTTCATTATACATGCAAACATTATTCTTAAGAGTGACATCCTGAAAAAACATTATTTTAAAAACATCTTATGTTTACCTGCAGTAAAACAGCTGTTAATGAGAGATAATTTTTGTGAATTACTGTTGCTATTGACTTTATTTCCTACATTTTGAAATTTGCCTATCAATTGGAACTCTACATAAGATAAATAAATGGACCTGAAATTATACTTTTGGGAGTTCAAGAACAAAAATTGTACCAATTTTTTAAAAAAATTTGTTTGTTCATCTACTCATTTTTTTCTATAAACAACTATTAAAGGCACATTATACTATAGACACTAGTTTGAACCCTTTAGTTGTATTAATTGTTCCTTTAGGCATATGACATAAATACAACTTTATATTTTAAACTCTTTGGGAAAATGAATGTTTCCAAGTATGTATCTACTAGATAAATTAGAATGCTTAATGTTAAAGTGAAAAAAAACTATTTATAATTTTAAATTTATTCTTCTTCTCAATAATTTACCAGCCAAACTAGTTTATTTGTTCTTTTACTTATACATTTAATAAATATTTATTATTTATTACATACCAGAGAAAATTCTAAAAGCTGAAAATAAACAGTAGTGACTAAACCAGGTTATTGGTCTCACAGAACAGTGGGAAAAAACAATAAATACACACATAAATAAATTTCTATTTAGATATTGACTGATGCTATAAAGAAAAATAAAGGAGGGTAAGTAAAATTGTGACTGCTAGTGGGGTGCTTGGGAGAGAGGTACTTTTTGAAAGATGGTCAGGGGAAGATTTACTCTTAGGTTACTTTTCAGCAGAGACCTGCCCAGACATCTGAAGAAGAAAGCCTTGTGGAAAATTGAGGAAATAGATGTCAAAGCAAGTGCAAATGCCCTGAGGCCTGAATTTCTCAATTTTTTTTAAAAAAACATCAAGGATGTTGGTTGATCACAGTGATCAAACGAGTGAGGAGAAATGAATCAAAGGGTTGGTAAGAAATGGCTGAGGAAAGGCAAGTGGAGCGAGGCAGCAACTGCAGGTGCAATGAAACTCCATTTTCTTTTTATAAGTGAAAAATAAAGACACAAAATTATTTTTTAATAATATTATTTTGAAATACATTTAGATTTACAAAATAGTTGTAAAGATAGAACATTTCCACATACCTTTTATTGTTTTTTAATGTTAAATAGCCATGGTACATTTGTCAAAGTTAGGAAATTATCATTAGCATAATACTATTAACTAAGGTACAGACTTTACTCCAGTTTCTCAATTTTTTAATTAATTTGTATTTTCTGTTTCAGGAAGCAATCCATTATATCATCTTGCATTCAGTCATTGTGTCTCCTTAGTCATCTCCAAGCTGTAATAATTTGTCTGTTTTTCATTTTCTTTTATTTCCGTGGTACATTTGGTAAGTACTGGTAAGATAATTTATAGAATGTCACTCAATTTTGGTTTGACTGGTGTTTTCTCATTATTAGATCAAGGTTATGAGTTTTGGGGAAAAATAACAGAGAGTTGATGTGCCCTTCTCATAGCATCATATCCAGGGACATAGATGTCAATGTGAGTTATTATTGGTATAACGTTCACTTTGATGTTTGGAAGAGGAGTGATATTACTTGACCTATGCTTAAAAATTATCTGATGGTTGCTGATTTGAGAGCAGATTTTAAAAGAATAAGGGTAGATCAGAGAGCCTAGTTTAAGGGCTCTTGTAATAACTCAGATGAGAAATTATTATATTTTGTACAAGCATATTGGTAATGAAAGTGACAAGAAGTGGTTACATAAATTCCAGAATTAATTCTATATGGATTCTTGAAGGAATATCATTTTTATTTGGGTTAGAAATATGTTTGTAGGAGTCACATACATATAAATAATACTTTAAGGTATAGAACTACATGAGGTCACTTACAGAGTAAATAAACGGGTCCAAGGACCAAGATTCAAAAACACTCCACAGTTCTATTTATTATTTCTTTATTAGTAAACAGAATGTCATGAAATGTTACCATGATAGTAATATTAATGTTTACTTATGTGGCAACTATTTGTGGACTGGCTACTGTGTATCTACTGATGGTGAACAAGTCTGAAAATGTCTCTGTTCTCATGGGACCCGCATTCTGGTGGTAGAAAACACAAAAGACAATGAGTAACATATTAACAGAGAACCAAAAACTACCATGTTGTCCATAAAGGTCTGAAAGGGTGATGTTAAGCTGAGATCTCAATTCCCAGGACCATCTGTGAGAAAATTTGAGTGGTGTAAACTAGCATAAAGACCTTTATAATAAACATAATTTTTGGTCCCAGCAAATAAGCTTCTAGGAATTTATTCCGTGGATATGCTCAGGGCAAGCGTCTTCTATAAAGCATTTATTTTATTGAAGAGAAAAAAACCTAGAAACAACTTATTAATATATAACTGGCTAAATAATTATGAACCACACTATAATGGAATACATGTTACCCATTAAATAGAATACAGTATATGTGTATATATATTAATATAAAAATATCCTTGTGGTATAAGAAATGTTAGTTTGACATTATATATGTTACAATCTCATCAACATTCCTGTTGAAAGAATAAAGACTTCTATATCCATACATTTCTGAAAGCAGCAAAGTAAGTTATTAATAATGATTGTTTATGGAGAACAGAGGCCTACTTTTACTCTTTTATTTTTTTTTTCTGAGACAGCGTCTGTCACCCAGGCTGGAGTGCAGTAGTGTCATTATAGCTCACAGCAGCCTTAATCTCCAGGGCTCAAGCAGTCCTCCCACATCTGCCTCCCAAGTAGCTGGGGCCACAGGGGCATACTACCATGCAAGGGTAACTTTTTAAAAAATCTTTTCAAATATAATACAAAACTTATTATTTTTAAAATTTTCTACATTACATAATAATTGTACATAATTCTAGGGTACAATATGATGTTTTAATACATGTACAGATTGTGCAATGATCAAATCAGAGTAATTAGCATATCCAGCATCTTAAACATTTGGCATTTCTTTGTGATGAGAACATTAAAAAACGTCTAGCCATTTTGAAATATAAAATATTGTTAACTTCAGCCATTCTACTATGCAATAGAACACCAGAACTTATTCTTCCTACCTAACTGTAGCTTTTTACCCATTGGTCAACCCTTTAAATAAGAAGTATTATTAAAACACACAATGTGGGCTCCTTCAACTAAGCACTGATTTCTTCTTTATGTATTGTTTCTTTCTAAGCACTTATTTTTCTTTTTAGCCCAAATTCACAGGCCCAGTCTCCAAAGTAGCCTATGGAAAGCCTCCTATCTTCACATCCTTCTGTCCCACCTGATCAAAATCTTTTTTATGTTTCTATCTAGATCTAGTTTGCATCATATCAATAATGCTAGGGAGAAGCAGTTTGTAATTGGTTAATGAGTGATGGAATGGGCTGAGAGGAGTAATCCAGGGTGTGGGAGGGAGCAACTTTGGCCTAGCCATACATATTGAAAATAAAAGCCAGAAGGGTGAGCAGTAAGTAGTAATTTGGAAAAACGGAGGGTTTGATAACAAATGTTAAGAAGAGATTCAGACCAAATGAGGACATGGGTTACAGAAGAAAAGTAGGTTATTGTAAAAAAAAAAAAAAAAAAAGTCAGAATTTCACAGTGTTGGAGGTAGAAGACTGTCAGGGAATATTGCAATTCAATATTCAATGTGTAAACAATGTTCAAATGTGTGATTGCCAAAGTGGAATGGAGGTGGTTTTCTCTGTAATTCCTCATGAAAGAATTTACTATATATATTTGTACATTACAGGTAAAATCCTCATTTCTCAGTGAAACAAAGTGAATCCTGTCATTAGAAACTTCCCAGTGAGAGCAGTGGGGCCAGAGAAAATTTCTCTCCTTTGGTAATAAGCTGTACAAGTCAGTTCTGCCAGCTGTAGGCAGCTAAATGCACTCTGTAGTTTCCCCAAGATACCCTGCTGATTTATGCATATTGCAATCTCTCAATCCATATGTCTGGGCCAGGGTCAGACAATATTCCTGAAGAACGTGAGCTGATGCTTTTAGCTAGGAATGTGTTGTAGGTCGCTGAGGTTCCTTGGATCACCTCCAGGGCAGTGGACCTGGATCTTCAAAAACCTTATGTTTTTATGTTTTCCTGGCTTCTTTATAAATGCTGAAGAGTACATGAGTATTGATACACAAATAACGGAAATTTTAAATTGATTTTTAGATAGTAATTATGATTTTTATGTTAATTCTATTTTTCTAATATTCTTTGTAGTATGTGGTACTTCATTAAAATTGTGTATCTTTCTGCCTATGAAAAATATTGAAGGATGATCAATGACTCATAAGAATAAATGACTATTTGTTTGATAATATGGAGAATCAAGAGTAGCCACTTAAAGTTGTAATTAAATATTGAGAATTGTGAAAAATGCAATCATACAGCAATTCTAAGATATTCTAATAATATATACCAGAACTAATAATATATTTTATTAGTGTTTTATAGGCATTAATAAAAATTCTTAAAGAATTAAACAAATGTCAGTGTTCAGTTGCTTCTGGAGAAAAAAAAGAATTAAAGCCTGCCACCAAAGTAAGTGTAGATGACATAATCAGAACTACTGCTGAAGAGTAAAATGTTTCAATGAGTCAGACAAATAAAAGAACAAGATCACTTTTAAAAAATATTTAACGAAGTATACCTAATTTCCATACTTAACCTAAAATAACTTAAACGATACCCAAATAACCAACCTAGGTTCATGGAAAGCTCCCTGTAAGATACAGCTCTGTGGTAGCTTTGTTATACTTTGTTATACAAATATGTATTGATGAGTTCACCACAGTCACTTTCTTTTTTCTTTTTTTTTGAGACTGAGTCATTTTCTTTTTCCTTTTTCTTTTTTTGAGACGGAGTCTCACTTTGTTGCCCAGGCTGGAGTGCGGTGGTGTGATCCCGGCTCACTGCAAGCTCTGCCTCCTGGATTCACGCCACTCTCCTGCCTCAGCCTCCCGAGTAGCTGGGACTACAGGTGCCCGCCACCACGCCCGGCTAATTTTTTTGTATTTTTAGTAGAGACGAGGTTTCACTGTGTTAGCCAGGATGGTCTCAATCTCCTAACCTCGTGATCCGCCGCCTCGGCCTCCCAAAGTGCTGGGATTACAGGCATGAGCCACCGCGCCCAGCCTCACCACAGTCATTTTCATTTAAAAGTAAGTAGAATTGTTTAAGTAATTTTTTGTAAGAAACACTGGGCCTCATCTCTGAAGCCTAGGATATTTTAAAGTGGACCATTATATTTAGGCATTTTGATTTATGGATATATTTTTCTTATACACAGAGTACAGTTTACTGTGTTATTTTTTATCTAAAACAGAACGTTACCGAATATTCCAAGAGAAAATGAAATGCTTCATGAATTCTCTGATTCTCCTAATCTAAGAATTTATCAAAAATGTATTACCTAATAGAGCAATTAAAAAATTCATATATATCAAGATGCTGCAATTTCACTGAGGAATTAAAAATTAAGTTGTTTAGTCTTTCATTTTCTTGTGGTGTATATTCTTATTGATTTATACTTTGTTATGTGTATACTAGAGCAGACAAATATAACCTAAGCGTCCGTCACTTTTTCAAGAGGACGTATTTATTTATTTAGCTATTATATTTACTTATGTTTCTTAAATAATGGCAAGATATTTGTAAAAATAAAACAAAAAGCAACCATTTATTAATAGAGTATATTAAAAATATAAAATATATTCCAATGGTTAAAATCAAATGAGTATTTAACATGATGGAACATTTTAAGACTTCATAATTCACAAAAACAACTATCTTCTGTAAACAAGATGATTATGTTCATATATGAAAAATACTCACGAAACATATGTTGGGAATATTTCTATATTCCCAGATATAAACAGGAATGGTGATGTCTCAGATCAGCACCATCAGCATGACCTGAGAAACTGTTGTAAATACAAATTCTAGGCCCTAACCTAACTCTACTAAATTAGAAATAAGAAATAGCGTACAGCAAGCTGATGCACTCTAAAATATAACAACTATTAACACAGAAGAATAAATATATATTACTACAGTTAGACAACTAAGGTAATTCAGAGGACAAAACCAACTGGACCTAAACAAGTTGATATTACTGGGAACCTTAGTCCTAAAATAACAAACATTGTCTAGAACTGAACCAGGATTTACGTAGGTAATACAAAGATTTGGCTATAGCAATCAAATCAATGTCAGTGTTCCATAAAGGTCTGTTTAGACTCCTTTACTATCTCCAGCTCTCAGAGTGCTTCTACTTTCAACAACCAGCCCCTATGTCTGTGTCTGAAGCTAGCACTCAGGCTGCAAGAACTTGCCTGCCTCACCCTAGTTGAAGATTTTTGCGAATTTAGAGCACCTGATCTTACCCAGGGATGGCTAAACCAGTAACTGAGTGCTGTGGCATGTAAATACTTCAGCTGCTGCCTTTCCTATGAATCTTCTAAAAGATGGCCCACATTATTTCCACATTTTCCCTACAGGATCGAGTCAAACTTACCTTCCAGGAGACTTTGCTTGGTGCACCATCCCTCTATGTCCTTTCCTTCCCAGTCCTGCTTCTCTATTCCACTACTAGTTATCCTAGAAATAATTCCTACTCTCTCCCTATCACGTGAACCTTCATCTCTGTATCCACTCCTGAGGAGCCCAACCATAAACAGCTTATATTCTTACCTGCATAAGCCAATAACACGAGATTTTTGTATCAAAGTGGTTGGAGATATCCTCACATCATTTTATCTTTTGCTGTGAAACTGTATTTCCACCACCCTATCAGGTTCTAACTGAGGTCCAAGAGGAGCTGTTGGGCAAGTGGCAAGTAGCTGGAAAAATACTCGAGGAATCACAGACGGTTTCGACATGACTTTACTTTCTCTATGGGCATGAACGAGAGCCATATGTGCAGCTTAGGCAGGGTAATTATACCTTCTACAGACAATAGTGGCTCTGAGCCAAGCGTGAGCTCATATGGGTGATCATCTAATTCACCTCATGTGGTGTGGTTACATAATGTGCTACATGTTGTGGTTACATAATGTGCAGGGTTGTGTACCTGCACTCCAAACCCACTGAGTCTTGCTGGACCAGATATCTGCCTCGGCCTATTCTTGACCACAGTACTTCAATTTTTCTTACACTCTACCTGCTAGGCCAAGGGAGACATAGGGCTTGGACACACAAGTCTGACATAGAGGCTTGATACATAGGTTTTGGGCACACAGGCCGGACACACAGGCTTAATACCTAAGCCTGACACATAAGCTCTGGGAACACAGGCCTGATACACAAGCTTCACACACAGGCCCCAGACACACATGTTGGACATATGTGGGCAACCACCCCATGGTGACTTTACCCCAATGTTGCTTTATATATTAAGCCAGGTTTTTTGTTCCCCTACCTTTAGGGGAGTTGGGGCAGGCAACAACAGGTTACTGTTTGTCCCCATACCTGGTCAAAGAAGGTCATCCTTCCCCGTATAGGTCTTGCCACATGGCCTGGCCCCACATGGGCCGGTGACTAACTAGCCACTTATGTAACTTCTAAGTAGTTAAACACAAGGTTAAGCCTCGATAAACTTCCCAGCTATTGGTGCAGATTACCATAGGTGTCACCTCCTTGGTGATCACCATTCATATGGCTCTGAATTCAGCCAGTTGGCTACTTCGTCCATACCCGGTTTCAAACCATATGGTAATTAGTGCTAAACTGGACTGCAACAGCTGTCCAGGCAGCAGTAGCACCTTGGCTAGACCCATCTGTGTACCATGCCCCATGGGGAATTGGGGGGACACCCTTCCTTAAATGGTGAAGGCTCAGGGTCTAGGGGTACCTCAGGTTCCTTGGCCTTAGGCCCCATGGCCTTAAATTGCATTAGGACTACAGGTCCCAAGACCGCTTGCAGCTCTGTTGCTAAAGGATTTGCATTCAGAGTACTTCACTGCTCTAAGTAGGTGCTCTACGTTGCTCAAGCGGATGTCTGTGCTGCCCTAGTCTGTGGGGTCATTATCTATGAGCGCCCCCATCCTGCTAATGGGTAGGTCATCTGAATGACAACTGTAGTCCATTATGCCATGCTCTCATAAGCCTGAAGGGCAGCATATGCAGTTACTAACTGCTTTCCCAGTTCGGAGGGTCATTATCCATGAACGCACCCATCCCAGTATCTGGTAAGTCATCCGCATGATGACTGTAGCCCATCAGGCCATGCTCTCATGAGCCTGAAAGGCAGCATATGCAGTTACCAAATGCTTCTCTTTCAATGAATACCTCAGCTTAGCTCCATTCCATAGTTGGGACCAAAAGGCTACTGGTGTTCTTAAGCCCTCTGTGTGCTGCCACAGGCCCCAGCTGAAACCATCTGTGGTCACATGCAAGTCCAGCTCAAACGGGTGCCCCTGGTCAACTACCTGTAGGGCTTGTGCCTGCTGAATAGCCCATTTGGCTTCCAGGAAGGCAGTCTCAGCCACACTATCTTAATTCTAGGCAAGGGGATCATGGCCACTTCTAAATCTGCAAGAGAATCAGAGGTTAGGATAGTATCATTAACAAGACCATAACATGGTGGGGCTATGCACATAGCCTTGCAGCAACACTATGAATATCCATTGTTGCCCTCCCATGAAGGCAAACTGTTCCTGGCTCTGTAGGAAAAAAAATGCATTAGCTAAGTCCACCACATAGTGGTACTGTCCCAATTCTGTCATCAAGAGGTCCATTCAGTCTGTGATAGATAGCACAGCTGCCAAGTCGTGTAAAATGTCCACTCCCAGAATGTATCTGTGCTGGTGTCTGTGCCCTCTGGTTGTCCAGTGTTTCCCCAAGCTGGGCACCTTGGCCAGTTCCCTTATCAAACAGAAAAGGCTTTACAACCCCGCCTGGCTGAAGCACTTAGTCTTTGAGCTGGAGTGCCCAGGCGGGACTGGGTCATGCAGCAATGTTCTTCTCCCCTTTGGGCATTTTCTGGAATGTCACAATGAGCATGTCACTCATTAGGGCACCATTTTCTCCCATGGGGGACCCACCTTGTGTCTGGGGCATCTTCACCCTTTTTATGGCACAGACCCCTTGTTCCCGCCAATGGCCTCCTCAGTCTCAGACCGAGTGGAGGTCTCCAGCAGAGACAACGGACCCAGGCCTGCATTCACAGCAGACTCTAATTTTTTTTCCAAGCTCTGTAGCCAGGCCTCCAGGTGCCCCACCTGCACCTGGAGGTCCCCATTCACGTCAGCTTCTAACTATTTTGCTGAAGTGTGTAGCTGGGCTTCCAGGAACCGCTCCTGTGCCTGGAGGACCCTTACCTCTGCTGCATCCCTTAGGGACTGGGTGTGTATTTCTCATAGTGCAGTCAAAAATGCCCACCCCACTCCGCTGGCAAAAACTCACTTCTACTCAGTGCTCTGTGCTTCCAGCTGCTTCAGCGCCTTCTCCATGCTCATGAGGGACCCATCTACTGCTGCCCGGGTTTCCACCAGAACCCATCCTCGCAGCACAGCTGCCACTGGGGTGCCACAACCCATGTTGTGGCCACATGGTTACTCCGGAATCAGTGGGGACCGAAGGCTCACCCAGCTTGGGATCCTGCCAACTACGTCAAATGTCATGCCAAGTGTCAGGTTCCAGCTCAAGCTGAGGACTGAGGAGAGTGGGTGGACGAGTTGTGGGCAGCTGAAAGAACACTCAAGGAATTGAAGGGAGTTTTGACATGGGGCTTTACTCTTTTCCTGGGCTCGCATGCAGAGAAAAAAGTGAGTTAAAAAAAGAGCAGGAAAAAAAAAAAGAGTGAAGCCATGTCAAAACTCCCTAGGATTCTTTGAGTGTTCTTTCAGCTGCCCGCCGCTCAGCCACCCACTGCCCTCGGTCCTCAGCTTGGGCTGGAAACTGACAGTGACACATCTTTTTTTGCATTTTTATGTGACACTGTCTTGTAAGTAGATGTTATTTTTTAGAACAGTTTTACATATACAATAAATTCAGAGTATCTGTATGTCCCACACCCAGTTTCACCTTGTCATTAACATTATACATCAGTATAATGCATTTGTAACATTTAATAAAATAATATTGATGCACTATTATTATTACTAAGGAGGAATCTATTTTTGGTTAGATTCTACTCATCTTTCAAGACTCAGCCCATGACCAATCTGCTTTATAATTTTGTCCTCACTCATTCACTTAAAATTCAACAATTTTTAAAGCACTTAATATGTACACCGAGAATTATTTTCATTGTTGAAGATAAGGCAGTAAGACATAGATACCAAGTGTTGCTTATCATAAAAATTAAATTTTAATAGAGAGGGTCAAATCACAAAGAAGAAAATAAATGCATATAAATATAATTTTACAGAATAACAAAAGCTACAAAGATCTAAAAATAGTAAAATATAAAGGTCATTAGAAAACTGATAAACTTTGAAGAGGATGGTCTATTGCGGGATCTGGCCAGCAGCCCATAATGCAACGGGGCTGTCCCTTTGTTCCCAGGCAGATTGGCAGGTTGAGAAATAATAGACACACACAAGATAGTGAAAGCTGGGTCCAGGGGGGTCACTGCCTTCTGGTCCCGTGGTGCCAACAATGCACTGGATATACCAGCATTTATTATTAAGTTTAGTGAGGGCAGGGGTAGGTTAGTGAGAGCTTTAGGGTCATTTAATTATGAGGTGAGATGGTCACATGGGGATGAAGTAATTCTTTAACATAACATTTGTATGTAGAAGCACAGTACATTTGTATGTAGAAGTACAGTATACAGAGATAAGAATTTACAATATAGTGTGTACGTCAGTAATTTCTAACAGAGCCTTAAAACAGAAACACAATCTTTCCATAACCGATGATTAGCAAGATATTAATCAGCATTAACAATTGCAACAAAAGCAGGTTACAAATAATCCATGGAAACAGGACGTGAAGCTAAACAACCGGTTAGACCAGAAATTCTCAGAAGGGAGTATGCCTTAACCCTAAAGAGGCCTAGAAGAGCCCTGGCAAGATGAGGGTGTTTATAGTCCTATCTTATCCATATGGACAGGCGCCTCCCATGCATCCGTTTATGGGCTCTCCACAAGGGTTGCATTCCATTCCCAGAGCTATGAACATCTGCTTTTCTGGGATAAGAATCTTGGTGATGTGAAACCTCCCTGACTGCACATCCATTCATAGGCTCTCTGCAGGGGGAAGCACATCATGTGCTGTTGGCTTGTTCTGGCAGTCCAAACTGGCATGGTCTTTACACAATCCTGCATGCAATTTTGTATTTACAATAATCAGGAGCATTTCATCTTTTATTCTGTAGCAATAGTTTCAGGGGGTCTCCCTACAATGGTCTATATAATAGTTCTGTGCAGCATCACTGGAACTGACATCTTAATGGTTAGAGTTAAAGGGCCAATTGGCCATACAAAGATCTGAGAAATGGAAAGCCCAGGCAGAGGAAATAGCAGTTCCTAAGAGCATAAGGTATATTTGATGTATGTGAAAACAGAAAGAAACCCAAAGCGTCTAGAGGGAAAGAGGGAGAATAGTGTTATATAAGGAGGGGAACTTATGCAGAAGCAATCTCATAAGGCTGTCAGGAGAGAGAAAGCAGTGCTGAAACCATTTTAAGCCCAGTGAGAAATCAGTAGGTACTAATAATTAGGGGATGTAATTCAGGGCATGAAATAAGGTGATTAACTTCTAAAAATATCATTCTGAAGAATAAAGTGGGTTATGCAGGAATGGCAGGAAGGTAGAGAGAAGAGATGACTGCCTGATGCTTATCTTTTAAACTGTCTTTAGCCCCTGTTTCTATTGTATAGACTTATTTTATTTCTTCTTATAATGAGAGCTGTTTATGACAGGGGCCAAGTCTAATAATTTTTGTTCTCCAACTGATAAGCATAATGTTTGATACATAGCAGGTACTAACTATTGAAAGAAAAAAATTAATGATTTCTAAAACCCAAAAGCTAGTTAACACCAAGTCCAACTCTTTTTATTTTTAAATGCAGAATACTCAGCAAATCAAATTTCTCATAATTTCCATTTAAATCATCAACTACTATATAAACAATCATGTTCATCAAATCTGTTATATAATTTAATATTATGTTATATTCTCTCTCAAGCCATTTTTTCCCTAATGAGTTAGAACAAAATTTAATTATTTAAGCATTTTCTGCTTGGTTTTATTTCTAAGCTATTAAATTATTTGCAGATTTTCTTACATTTCTGCTAATTCATCACATTCTTTTTAATATGTACATCTCAGAAGGAAACTAACAAATGTACAGAACGGAAAAGTGTGCATATTTTATTATAATGTAGTTTTTGTGTATTGACAGATTGTAATAATTTAAATTTAAAAAATGCTATAAAACGGTATATGGCACTAATGTTTAATAAGTGATATAATTACATCAAGAAGGTGCTAGTGCTTGTCATGAATATAAAATAATAGAACAACGCTATATTTTGGCATTTTACAGATAATTGCCAGCTGAATTTTCTTTTACGTAATGAACTATCTCAAGGTATGTATAATCTAAAGGGAAGTAGGGATTGAAGGGGAAACATTTTGAAATAATTAATTTTAAACTTCATTCTGTTAATGATTGTTGCTAAAATAATCACTATCACAGAACAAAATGGCAGTAGTTTAGTAACAAGAAAAGTCTACTTCATAGTTAACAATACAATGTCAGTGTCTTGTTGGCAGGCTGCCTTTATCCACACGATGATCCAGGATCCCAGCTCCTTTCATTGTGTGGTCCATCTTCCCTTAGGGCCTTGTCAATCTCTTCATCTAGCCAGCAGAGAAGAGAAAATTTGGAGAAAGCGCAACAGATACTTAAAATCTGGTTCCACAAATACAATATTTCACTTTCCCTCAAAGGAAAGTTACTTCCATAGCTAACCTCGATATCAGGAGACTGGAGAATTTGGTCCCGAAACTGGATATTTTACTTTTGAGTGACAGTTGTATACTATAGAATATCAACCACAGTGCTCACATGGAAACTTTCGCTATTCTAACCATACTCAAAGCCTTCTTTTTATGATATTTAGAATCAACAAACTATCATTTGTCTGAACATGTGGATGTATTTTTTTGTATTCATATCTTATTATGGATTATCCTTCCCCTGCCAGACCTTTCTTGAAAGACGACATACTGTCTTGGTTGAAACATTCATTTTATTAAAGAGAAGATTGAAATCTAGAGAAATTAAGTGGCTGCCCAAGGCCACATATTTAGTTAGTAACAAACTCATAATTAAAATCCTCTTTTGGGCCGGGAGCGGTGGCTCATGCCTGTAATCCCAGCACTTTGGGAGGCCAAGGCTGGCAGATCACTTGAGCCCAGAAATTCAAGACCAGCCTGGGCAACATGACAAATACCCATCTCTAGTTTGTAATCCTAGCTACTCTGGTGGCTGAAGCATAACTATCATCAGAGAGGCAGAGGTTGCAGTGAGCTGAGATCACTGCCATTGCACCCCAGACTGGACAATAGTGAGACTCTGTCTCAAAAAAACAAAAACAAAACTGATTTTTGTTGTTTTCTCAGTACCTCACCAATCCTAATAATTAATTTCAGCAGAGTAGTAAATAGCTAATACATTGATTTTCAAGCACTTAGCAGCAGATGTCCCATATTGGAGAATAATACTTATTATTATAATAAAACTATTGCTTTATTGGTCAGTTTCCATACATTTTGGAAGAAAACTACTTCATTAGTTTAGTATTTCTGGGGCAACTGCATGTTACTGCAGGTCCTATAGAGCTTGTACTCTAAAGGACTAGATCACTCTAAAATATATATTATTTGAATTATACATACTAAGACTATGTAAAGGAATGTACAAAAATGGTGAGTTTTTTGTTTGACTTCTTGGGAAACAACCTAGGAGATGGATGTTAGTACGCAGGCAGTTTATTAGAGAGTGTTCTAGGTATAAATACTTGTGGAAGGGACAGGAGGAAGCAAGACTCACTATGGGCTTCAGTCCACCCATACAAGGGCCTCAGCTGTGCTTATTGGTAGCTCCGATGCTGGGATGATACTCCAAAGTTGTCTCAAGTTGAAGTAAGGGTTGGGCTTTTATATCTCAATATTAATCACTCATTGGAAGAAAGGCACCTCATGAAGAAATTATCACCTTGGGCAAGGTGTCTTTCTTCATCTATATTTGAAGGAGGCTAGAAGCTGAGAGCTGTCCTTGCAGAAACTGGGTATACCAGTCATGAATTTCAATCTGGGTGTTACCTCATGTTGTCCACTACAGAAGTTTATGTAGTGGAGCTTCCTGGAGGAAAAAAGGGTAGGAGAAGAGCCCAGATAGCTTTGTCTAAATCTTAAAATTGTTGACGCATTTTTATTCCAGAGACTAAACTAAAAACAATATTTATTTTGGATAGATTTCAGAAGAAATATTCATCCATTACAAAGTCAATCTTACTTTTATAACTATTCATTTGTTTATGTATATATTTGCAATTTCATTCTATAAAGGGTATGAATAGTTTATCTTACTCTTAATTTTTACCTAATTTACATTTTTGGCCTACTGTGTTGTTTCACAGATTAAAAACTATAGTAGTATATTTGCCCTTAACAGACAGATGCTACAGAACAGTTTATTTTTCATTTATGGAACTTAGACATGAGTCTCTAAAGGAAAATAATGCAAAATGCCTTGCACTATATAATTCAACAAAAACGTATTTTCTTTATTTAGTAGTTGGAACTACTTTACTGGCCATTACAGTCTGTTCTAGGTTTTCTAAAATCTTCAAATATTATTTTACGTATAGTAAATTCAATTGCTTTAGAAATTTACCAATGTATCATTGCTATTGCACCTGTGTATGTAGGAAAAGGTATTGCACAGTAAATCTAATATTAATTATTTCCTTCTAAATTCCTTTAAATTCTTGTTTATATTTAGCATAACACAGGAGGCATAAATGTATTTTATCTAAATCTGAATAATGTAATGCAACAAGTAATTACACCAATAACTCTATGTGGTGTTTTTATTCAATGTCGATTTATCTAATATTTAATATAAAATTTTAGTTTTCTGTTTTTACTAAACTATTTTTTTCTAAGTCATATAAAATGAATAGTTTGAATTAACTTTAGGTATATGGCTTGTCCATTAAAACTTGTTGGAAAAAAAAGGCATTTCATAAAAAGAATTATAGCACTACTGATATTAGAGGAGGCAGTATATATATTATATATTATGTGTATACGTGTGTGTGTGTGTGTGTGTGTGTGTATAGATATATTCTGCTTAACATTCAATCTGTTTTTAAGGGCATAACAGACATATTTTCAGATTTTGGGGGAATGGTTGGATTTTATTGTATCAATTATGAACATCTATCGAATTGAAATTTGAGGAAAATTATTGTTTCTGAAATGTGAAGAATAGACTAAAGAAGGATAGAGGAAAACACTATCAGCACAGTTAGCAGGACATTACAGCAATGTAAATATGATGATAGAACAAGATAAGTGGAACTGGGGATGAAATGTGCAGCCCTAACAGCCACTTGGGAGGCAAAATGAAAAAGAGAAGTGGAGAAAGAAAAAGTCAATGTACTTTACTTATTTATACCTGAAATCATGCAAGAGATGCATTATGTTAGTGGTTTATATTCTTGATTCTCCTTTGCAATACTAAAAATTGAAAAGATCACTCAACACTTATACCAGAAAATAAAAAAATAATAATTCTAGGTCCTGCTTTATTTACCCTTAGCTTGTGTTAGTAGGTCAGAACACAAGTTAATTTCGATATACCACTTAATCATGGCCCAAAATTTTAAGCTTCCTGACTCAGAACATTGTGAAGAGCCTCAAAGAAATCATGTCTGTGAACTATATACTAGTTGAATATAAAAATATAAATAGTTGTCTTTCTCAGGATAGTAGAAAAAGTGTTAAAATAAATGAAAAATCGATTTGCATTCTGAAAGCTACCAAGGAGTAGAGGCTCTGACAGTTTTTAAGAATTAAATTCTAATCTTCCTCACAAACAGAATGTTCCTTATTGTATTCTCTCTGTTTTTCTTCTTCTAACATATGCTAATTTCTTGTGAAGCTTTATTCTGTGAAAAATGACACCAATTGATCAGCATTTTTGTTACAAGCATATGTTATAAAAATTAGTGATGACCAAGGGAAGATAAATTTGGATAAAATGCTTGAAATATACCCATGGAATATATATTACTAATTACATAAAATATTTACTGTATCAGAAATGTGCTTACACTATTGATGTATAAAATTGGTATATTTGTATTTACCTTGATAACTAGGTATATGTCTACTTATGTAAATGAAACTTAAAGTGCACTCAAAATTGGTTTAGAAAGTAAAATTAATTCATGATTGAGTCATCTATGTCATATATCATTTATTCTCTTAAAACCTAGTTATATTCTATGTATTCAACATATATATCAGCATAATGTAGAAAATAATTTGTAAAAAAAGAAAATAGTGTATACCAAAGTTGGATAGTTGGGATTAGGCATTTATTTGTTTTATTTATAATATGAAGTATAATGTAGAGAAATATCAGAAATGAATTCCTTTCACCTTGACAGATACTATACCAGAAGGCTTGGTTTCATAGTTAGATGTAAGTTCACCACAGTCTTAAAGTTAACAGAGTTGATCAGTGTTTCCTACTATGATTTTCTATGTATATTTCATTTTAAAAGCCATAGACTTATAGCTGAAAGAAATTCTAAGTGAGATTTCAAATTATTTTTAAACTCTGCCTTTGGAAAATTGTAAGACAAATGAAAGACCTTTGTTTGAAAAGCTCATAAGATAATACATTCAGAATGTGATAATTAGGAAAAAGTGGGCAACTAGCTACCTAGTGTGTGGGACAGGAAAACAAATAGTAAGTCCATTTGGTTCTCTGTATCCACAGGATCCATATCTGTAGACTCAAACAATTATGGATAAAAAATATTTTTTAAAAAAGAGGGGTTGGGCAAGATGGCCAAATAGGAACAGCTCTGGTCTGCAGCTCCCGGCGAGATCAACACAGAAGACAGGTGATTTCTGCATCTCCAGCTGAGGTACTTGGTTCATCTCATTGGGACGGGTTGGACAGTGGGTGCAGCCCATGGAGGGCGAACCAAACCAGTGTGAGGCATCGCCTCATTCGGGAAGCCAAGGGGCTGGAGATTTCATTTCCCTAGGCAAGGGAAGCTGTGAGAAACTGTACCAGGAGGAACAGGGAACGCTGGTCCAGATACTGCACTTTTCCCAGGGTCTTCACAACCAACAGACTAGGAGATACCCTCCAGTGCCTGGCTCAGTAGGTCCAACCCCCACGGAGACCAGCAAGATAAGATCCACTGGCTTGAAATTCTCACTGCCAGCACAGCAACAGTCTGGGATCCACCTGGGATGCTCGAACTTGGCAGGGGGAGGGGCGTCCACCATTGCTGAGGGTTGAGTAGGCAGTTTTATCCTCACAGTGTAAACAAAGCTGCTGGGAACTTTGAACCGGGCAGAACCCACCACAGCTCAGCAAGGCCGCTGTGGCCAGACTGCCAGATTTCTCCTCTCTGGGCAGGGCATCCTGAAAACAAGGCAGCAGAACCAGTCAGGGACTTATAGGTAGAACCCCCATTTCCCTGGGACAGACACCTGGGGAAAGGGGAGCCTGTGGGTGCAGCTTCAGCAGACTTAAATGTCCCTGCCTGATGACTCTGAAGAGAGCTGCAGACCTACCAGCACAGCGTTTGGGCTCTGCTAAGGGTCAGACTGCCTCCTTAAGTGGGTCTTTGACCCCTGTGTATCCTGACTGGGAGAAACCTCCCAGTAGGGGTCGACAGACACCTCATACAGGAGAGCTCTGGCTGGCATCTGGCAGGTGCCCCTCTGGGACGAAGCTCCCAGAGGAAAGAATAGGCAGCAATCTTTGCTGTTCTGCAGCCTCCACTGATGATAACCAGGCAAACAGCGTCTGGAGTGGACCTCCAGCAAACTCCAGCAGACCTGCAGCAGAGGGGCCTGACTGTTAGAAGGAAAACTAACAAACAAAAAGGAATACCACATCCACTCAGATACCACATCCAAACGTCACCAACATAAAAGACCAAGGTAGATAAATCCACAAAGATGGGGAGAAACCAGCACAAACTGGCTGAAAATTCCAAAATCCACAATGCTTCTTCTCCTCCAAAGGATCACAACTCCTTGCCAGCAAGGGAACAAAACTGAACAGACAATGAGATTGACAAATTGACAGAAGTAGGTTTCAGAAGGTGGGTAATAACAAACTCCTCCGAGCTGAAGGAGCATGTTCTAACCCAATACAGGGAAGCTAAAAACCTTGAAAAAAGGTTAGACAAATTGCTAACTAGAATAAGCAATTTTGAGAAGGAAATAAATGACTTGATAGAGCTGAAAAACATGGCAAGAGAACTTCGTGAAGCATACACAAGTATCAATAGCCAAATTGATCAAGCGGAAGAAAGGATATCACGGATTGAAGATCAACTTAATGAAATAAAGAGAGATGACAAGATTAGAGAAAAAAGAATAAAAAGGAACGAACAAAACCTCCAAGAAATATAGGTCCAAATCTATGTTTGATTGGTATACCTGAAAGTGATGGGGAGAATGGAACCAAGTTGGAAAACACTTTTCAGGATATTATCCAGGAGAATTTCCCCAACCTAGCAAGACAAGCCAACATTCAAATTCAGGAAATACAGAGAACACCACAAAGATACTCCTCGAGAAGTGCAACCCCAAGACTCATAACTATCAGATTCACCAAGGTTGAAATGAAGGAAAAAATATTAAGGGCAGCCAGAGAGAAAGGGTGGGTTACCCACAAAGGGAAGCCCATCAGACTAACAGTGGATCTCTCAGCAGAAGCACTACAAGCCAGAAGAGAATGGGGGCCAATATTTAATATTCTTAAGAAAAGAATTTTCAATGCAGAATTTCATATCCAGTCAAACTAAGCCTCATAAGTGAAGGAAAAGTAAAATCTTTTACAGACAAGCAAATGCTGATTTTGTCATCTAGGCCTGCCTTACAAGAGCTCCTGAAGGAAGCACTAAACATGGAAAAGAACAACTGGTGCCATTCAGTGCAAAAACATACCAAATTGCAAAGAGCATCGACACTATGAAGAAACCGCATCAAGTAATTGGCAAAATAACCAGCTATCATCATAATGACAGATTCAAATTCACACATAACAATATTAAGCATATACGTAAATGGGCTAAATGCCCCAACTAAAAGACACAGACTGGCAAATTGGATAAAGAGTCAAGACCCATCAGTGTGCTGTATTTGGGAGACCCATTTCATGTGGCAAACATAGGCTCAAAATAAAGGAATGGAGGAATATTTACCACACAAATGGAAAGCCAAAAAAAAAAGGGAAGGAATTGCAATCCTAATCTCTGATAAAACAGACTTTAAACCAACAAAGATCAAAAGAAACAAAGAAGGGCATTACATAATGGTAAAGGTATTGATGCATCAAGAAGAGCTAACTATCCTAAATATATATGCACCCAATACAGGAGCACCCACATTCAAAAAGCAAGTTCTTAGAAACCTGTAAAGAGAATTAGACTCCCACACAGTAATAGTGGGAGACTTTAACACTCCACTGTCAATATTAGACAGATCAATGAGATAGAAAATTAACAAGGATATTCAGTGCTTGAACTCAGCTCTGGACCAAGCAGACCTAAAAGACATCTGGAGAACTCTCCACCCTAAATCAACAGAATATACATTCTTCTCAGGACATCATCACACTTAGTCTAAAATTGACCACATAATTGGAAGTAAAGCACTTCTCAGCAAATGCCAAAGAATGGAAATCATAACAAACAGTCTCTCAGACCACAGTGCAATCAAATTGGAACTCAGGATCAAGAAACTCACTTAAAACCCCACAACTACATGGAAAGTGAGCAACCTGCTCCTGAATGACTACTTGGTAAATAACGAAATGCAGGCAGAAATAAAGATGTTCTTTGAAACCAGTGAGAACAAAGATACAACGTACCAGAATCTCTAGGACACATTTAAAGGAGTCTTTAGAGGGAAATTTATAGCACTAAATCCCCACAAGAAAAAGCAGGAAAAATCTAAAATCGATCTGACCTCAAAATTAAAAGAACTAGAGAAGCAAGAGCAAACAAATTCAAAAGCTCGCAGAAGACAAGAAATAACTAAGGTCAGAGCAGAGCTGAAGGAGATAGAGACACGAAAAACAGTCCAAAAAAATCAATGAATCCAGGAGCTGGTCTTTTGAAAAAAATCAACAAAATAGGTAGACTGCTAGCCAGAAGAATAAAGAAGAAAAGGGAAAAGAATCAAATAGATGCAATAAAAAATGATATGGGGGATATCACCACTGATCCCACAGAAATAAAAACTACCATCAGAGAATACTATAAACACCTCTATGCAAATAAACTAGAAAATCTAGAAGAAATGGATAAATTCCTGGACACATACACCCTCCCAAGACTAAACCAGGAAGAAATCAAATCCTTAAATAGACAAATAGCAAGATCTGAAATTGAGGCAGTAATTAATAGCCTACCAACCAAAAAAAGTCCAGGACTAGAAGAGTTCACAGGTGAATTCTACAAGAGGTACAAAGAGGAGATGGTACCATTCCTTCTGAAATGATTCCAAACAATAGAAAAAGAGGGAATCCTCCCTAACTCATTTTATGAGGCCAGCATCATCCTGATACCAAAACCTTGCAGAGAGACAACAAAGAAAATTTCAGGCCAGTATCACTGATGAACATCTTTGCGAAAATCCTCCAAAAATTTCTGGCAAACCAAATCCAGAAGCACATCAAAAAGCTTATCCAACAAGAACAAGTCAGCTTCATCCCTGGGATGCAAGTCTGGATCAACATACACAAATCAATAAACATAATCCATCACATAAACAGAACCAGTGACAAAAACCACATGATTATCTCAATATATGTAGAAAAGGCCTTTGACAAAATTCAACACCCCTTCATGCTATAAACTCTCAATAAGCTAGGTATCGATGGAACAAATCTCAAAATAATAAGAGCTATCTATGACAAACCCACAGCCAATATCATACTGAATGGGCAAAAACTGGAAGCATTCCCTTTGAAAACCAGCACAAGTAAAGGATGCCCTCTCTCACCACTCCTATTCAACATAGTATTGGAAGTTCTGGTCAGGGCAATCAGGCAAGGGAAAGAAATAAAGGGTATTAAAAAAAAGAGGTATTAAAAAGAGGAAGTCAAATTGTCTCCATTTGCAGATGACATGATTGTATATTTTGAAAACCCCATAGTTTCAGCCCAAAATCTCCTTAAGCTGATAAGCAACTTTAGCAAAGTCTCAGGATACAAAATCAACATACAAAAATCACAACCATTCCTATAAACCAATAACAGACAAACAGAGAGCCAAATCATGAGTCAACTCCCATTCACAATTGCCTCAAAGGGAATAAAATACTTAGAAATCCAACTTAAAAGGAATGTGAAGGACCTCTTCAAGGAGAAGTACAAACCACTGCTCAAGGAAATAAGAGAGAACACAAACAAATGGAAAAACATTCCATGCTCATGGATAGGAAGAATCAATATCGTGAAAATGGCCATACTTCCCAAAGTAGTTTATAGATTAAATGCTATCCCCATTAAGTTACCATTGACTTTCTTCACAGAATTGGAAAAAAACTACTTTAAACTTCATATGGAACCAGAAAATAGCCTGCATAGCCAAGATAATCCTAAGCAAAAATAACAAAGCCGGAGGCATCATGCTACCTGACTTCAAACTGTTTTACAAAGCTACAGTAACCAGAACAGCATGATACTGGTACCAAAACACATATATAGACCAAATAGAACAGAACAGAGACCTCAGAAATAACACCACACATCTACAACCATTGTATCTTTGACAAAGTTGACACAAAGAAGCAATGGGTAAAGGATTCCCTATTTAATAAATGATATTGGGAAAACTGGCAAGCCATATGCAGAAAACTGAAACTGGATCCCTTCCTTACATCTTAAACAAAAATTAACTCAACAGGGATTAAAGACTTAAATGAAAGACCTAAACCCATAAAAACCTTAGAAGAAAACCTAGGCAATACCATTCAGGACATACACATGGGCAAAGACTTCATGTCTCAAACACCAAAAGCAATGGCAACAAAAGCCCAAATTGACATATGGGATCTAATTAAACTAAAGAGCTTCTGCACAACAAAAGAAACTATCATCAGAGTAAACAGGCAACCTACAAAATGGGAGAAAATTTTTGCAATCTATCTATCTGACAAAGGGCTAATATCCAGAATCTACAAAGAATCTACAAATTTACAAGAAAAATAAACATCAAAAAGAGGGCGAAGGATATGAACAGACACTTCTTAAAAGAAGACATTTATGTGGCCAACAAACATATGAAAAAATTCTCATCATCACTGGTCATTAGAGAAATGCAAATCAAAACCACAATGAGATACCATTAATTAGAATGGCACTCATTAACAAGTCAGGAAACAACAGATGCTGGAGAAGATGTGGAGAAATAGGAACACTTTTACACTGTTGGTGGGACTGTAAACTAGTTCAACCATTGTGGAAGTCAGTGTGGCGATTCCTCAGGGGTCTAGAACTAGAAATACCATTTGACCCAGCAATTCCATTACTGGGTATATACCCAAAGGATTATAAATCATTCTACTATAAGACACATGCACACGTATATTTATTGCAGCACTATTCACAATAGCAAAGACTTGGAACCAAGCCAAATGTCCATCAATGATGGAATGGATAAAGAAAATGTGGCACATATACACCATGGAATACTATGCAGCCATGAAAAGGATGAGTTCATGTCCTTTGCAGATACATGGATGAAGCTGGAAGCCATCATTCTCAGCAAACTAACACAGAAACAGAAAACCAAACACCGGGTGTTCTCACTCATTAAGTGGGACTTGAACAATGAGAACACATGGACACAGGGAGAGTAACACCACACACTAGGGCCTTTTTGGGTTTGGGGGGCTAGGGGAGGGATAGTAGATGTCAGGTTGATGGGTGCAGCAAACCACGATGGCATGTGTATAACTATGTATCAAAACTGCACATTCTGCACATGTGTCCCAGAACTTAAATTATAATAACATATATATGTATATATGTGTATATATGTATATATGTGCATATATGTATATATATAAAGAAAACAATTAAAAATAACTCAAATTTAAAAACCAATACAGTATAAGTATTAACATAGCATTTGCATTGTATAGGTATTATAAGTAATATAGAGATGATTTAAAGTATGTGAGAGAATGTGCATGAGTTATATGCATATACCATGATATTTTATGTAAGGGCATGAGCATCCATGGATTTTGGTATGCATGAGGGTTCCTGGAACCAATCCCTTGTGGATATCAAAGGACACTATTCTGAAGCAAGGTTAAAATATATATGTGTGTGTGTGTGTGTGTGAGTGTGTGTATGTGTGTGTATGTAATGTCAACTTAAAATAATCAAAAGAAGCAGAATCTAATTCAAAGAGAGTTTATTCAAGTGAAGTGTGAGGATGGACCAGCTGGAAACACTACTCCAAGAGTCAGTGTTTCAAAGTAGAAAAGTTAAAATTTCATTTTATATAGTCAAAAAGAAGTTTTCAGCAGGGCTACATTATTCATACAAGGTTGGAACATATGTGTAGCAATTTGATTTGTTACAGGCAGTGTTTCTTTTTGGGAAGGGTACATTTAACCTATTTAACAGAAGGTGTAATAATCATAGATTTTCTGTTCTCTGGTCTAAGCTAAGTAAAATAACAAAGGGAAAGTTAATCTATAACAAGGGTTACTAACTAAGAAGATGGGAAGTTTTTGTCCCTGACTTCCTTTAATTCCCTCTAGTCATTGTACAGAACAAAACAAATAAGAAAACAACTTAATCTATAATCTGAGAATAGAAGTTTTAAATATATGTGACACAGATTGCAGTAACATTTCTCTCAAAGCTTAAAGTGATTATTGTGGTTCCCACAGCTTTTAAATTTTATTTTTTTCACATCATATATATACATGTTTAACCAATGTTTGTAACCATGATAAGCAGAAAAAATATTTAAAAGTATGTAATTTATACAATATATTAAATGTTTTCATTTTTCTTGAAAAATGTGTAGATTAAATAAAAGAGAAATATTTACTTTTTTGAAGTGGAAACAATATTACAATTATTAACTTAAATTTTGTTTTTATTTTATTTCATTTGAACCATGTTTTCAGTTAGGGTATACAGCTTTCATTTTCAGAGTGGAATTACATCAATGGAGAAATGCAGATGTAGGAAAATTTGGATCATGGGGGAAATGTACAAGGATAACTGGAAGAAGCTGATTGCATAGTTATACGTTTAATTCAATTTGGTAATCTAATTTTGGAAAAAGGGCATATAAACACAGAGCATTAAAAGCGTTAACTGAACACACACTTCTGTCTTCCAACTTGTTTTAACAAAATCTCTAAGGTGGATGGGGCAGAAATAAAAAGTACCTCTTTTGACATCTAAGTTAGAATAAATGATCCAATATATTTGAGGATTTCAGCTATATATACAGCTAAAATCCAGCTATGTATACAGCTAAAATATGGTTCATTTATATATATATAAATATGTGTACCAGAAACTAAAAGGAAAATATTATGAGCAGTTCCTTTCTTGGACAAAAAATACTGTCTTTTATCTAACCAATTCACACTTCACTTACCCTGAAGTATCACTAACTTAAACTCGTGATAGACATGGTCAGGAGAGCAGTTGGCTAAATGTGATGCTCCATTTGTTCACTGCTGCCCCCTGTCTATTATTCCAGTCATTTACCCAAGTCTTATCTTGCTTGACATTTAAATAGTCTGTTCTAGTGGCTGCTACTTAATCTCTCATACCCTAGGCTGAAGAACTTGATTCAGCCTTTCATTCACCATATGGTTAAAGCTCCTTATAATGAACAACCGTGTGTTCCCATGGAATCTGTAAAACCACTGTGAATGACAGATTTTTAATAAATATGTACATATATGTGGAATTATATTTCCACCCTCTTTTTCTAGCATTTTAACTTCAGTAGCGGATCTCACAGCTTTTCCTTCTTTTTAAAAATCTGCTTGTTTCAAGAATTTCAACCTGACCCCATCATGATCTCTAACTTTGGCTTTAAATGACTGATTTCTTAAAATAGACCAGGCTTTAATTCTGGTATACTTTAAAAATATTTCTTTAGCTAACCAAGGTTCTGACCTTGACCTTAATTGTCTTTTTCCATCTTGTCTCTTGAATACTGAGGAGAGGCTGTCTAATCTCAAGTAGTCAATTTCCCATATCCATGGGTTCTATATCTATGGATTCAACTAACAGCAGATAGAAAATGTTTTTAAAAAATATATCAATATTGAACATGTGCAGATGTTTTCCCCTTGTCATTATTCCCTAAAAAATACAGTGTAACAACTATTTGCATACCACTTAGAGTGTATGAGGCATTATAAGTGATCTAAAGATGATTTAAAGTATGCAAGAGGATGTCCATAGGGTATATGCAAATACTACACCATTTTATATCAGAGACTTTAGCATTCCTGGATTTGGGTATCTGCAGAAATTCCTAGAACCCATCCCAGATGGATACTGAGACATCACTGTATGTGTGTAACAAGCCCTTGATAATTATGTAGCTATCAATGATTTTTCAACTTTGAACATGTGTGGGAAAGGGAGAATGTGAGTCACAGAACATAAAAGTAACTGATACAATATCACTAATAAGAGGCAGATTCTGGATTAAAAGCCAAAGGAGTCTTGAAAAACCCATACTCGTTGGTTCTCTTTTATTATGATATCTTAAGAAATTTAGAACTTGAGTTAAAAGGTTAAAAGGCACAGTTTAAAACAGGTTAATGTAATTGCCTAAATAAAGTTATCAAATTTGGTGTCATGAATAAACTATTACAAACAACAATCAGTAATTTTATTAAGAACACAACAATACATTTGGTACTTTATAAAACAAAACCTTGAGTAATAAATTAGTACCTTATAAGAATAAAGTACATTAAAATGTTAAGGTGATATGAAATAATCCTTTAATTTTTACTTTGTGCTATAAATGAAATCATGAGATTTGGAACTTTACTTTTTATTGGAAATAATTTAAATTGATCCAGCGAAATATCATTTTCATTCAATGTAAAAATATGCAGGTAAAATATAATCAATATAACATTACATTTGTATACTCAATGATAAAACGTATTCTCTGGGTATAATTTGAGTGCTTTAGAATGAAAATTTTAATTTTTGTGTGTAGAAAAATAACACATTTCTTCATTTATTATTTAACACATGGAAAATGACATAATTAAAATATATAAGAAGTAGGAGGAGAAAGAGGAGGTGAAGGAAGAGGAGGCGGAGGAGGAGAGAAATAAAATAAAGGTAATTGTTTTTAAATAATGGAGTTCATATTTTCTATTTGCTGTAGGCACATACACACATTGCCATGAATGCTAGAATTCAAGTCTTATATATTAACACTTTTTAAAAATGATGTACTATTAACTATAGTCACCATGCTATAAAATAGATCTTCAGACTATATTCATCCCCGCACTGAAACCCTGTGTTATTTGAACAATCATTCCCAGCTTTCCTTCAACTCATATCCCCACTTCAGCACTTGGAATTCACCTCTCTATTCTCTTATTCTACGAGTTCAACATTCCTAAATTCCACATGTAAGTGAAGTCATGCAGTATTTGTCTTTCAGTGGTTGGTATATTTCACTTAGTATAGTATCTTCTAGGTTTACCTATGTTGTTACAAATGACAGAATTTCATTCTTCAGTAAGGTTTAATAACATTCCATTGTGTGTGTGTGATATATACGATGTATAAATATGATATATATATGATATATATATATACACACACACTAGTTTTCAGTGGATGCATGGAAAAGCCTGGATCTCCAGGCAGAACCCTACTGCAGGGGTTGAGCCCTCACAGAGAACTTCTACTAAGGCAGTGAGGATGGGAAATGTGGGGTGGGAACCCCCACACAGAATCCCTGCTGGGGCACTGCCTAGTGAGAAAAGGGCCACAGTCCTTCAGACTCTGGAGTGGTAGATCCATTAGCAGCTTGCACCCTGTTCCTGGAAAAGCCAAAGGCACTCAACACCTGCCCTTGAGAAGAGCTGTGGGGATTGAACCCTGGAAGGCCAGAGAAGCAGAGATGACCACGGTTTTGGGAGCCCACCACTTGTATAGGTGTGCTCTGGATGTGGGACATAGAGTCAAAGATTATTTTGGAGCTTTAAGATTTAATGACTGCCCTGCTGGGTTTTGGACTTGCATGAGGCCTGTAATCCTTTTCTTTTGGCGGATTTCTCCCTTTTGCGATAGGTGTATCTACCAAATGCCTATACCCCTATTGTATCTTGGAAGTAACTAATTTGTTTTTAATTTTACAGGCTGATAGGCAAAAGGAACTTGCCTTGTCTCAGATGAGACTTTGGACTTTGAAATTTGAGTTAATGCTGAAGTAAGTTAAGACTTTGGGGGACTGTCAGGAAGGTATGATTGGATTTTGCAATGTGAAAAGGACATGAGTTTTGGGAAGGTCCATGGGCAGAATCATATCACTTGAATCTGTATATCCACCCAAATTTCACATTCAGTTGTAATCCCCATTGTGGAAGTGGGGCATGGTGGAAGGTGATTGATTCAAGGGGGAAGAATTCTTATGAATGATTTAGCCCCATCCTCTTGATGCTGTTCTCATGATAGTGAGTGAATGAGTGAGTTATCATGAGATCTGGTTGTTTAAAAGTATGTAGCACCTCCTTCCTCTCTCTCTTCCTTCTGCTCTGGCCATGTGAGACATTTTGCTTATCCTTTGCCTTCCACCATGATTGTAAGGTTCCTGATGACTCCTCAGAAGCAAAAGCCACTATGCTTCCTGTACAGCCCGAGGAACCATGAGTCAATTAATCCTCTTTTCTTATAAATACCCACTTTCATACATTTTAGCAATGCAAAAACAGACTAATACAGACACTTAAATTGATTCCATATGTTGGCTATTGTGAATTATGCAATGAACATGGGGGTGTAGGTATTTCTTTGACATAATGATTTCATTTCTTTGGATATATATACACAGAAGTCGGAATACTGGATCAAATGTTAGTTCGATTGTTAATTTTTTGAGGAACCTCCATGCTGTTTTTTATAATGGCTGTACTAATTTACATTCCAAGCAAAAATATAAAAGAGTTCTCTTTTGTCCACATCCTTACCAACACTTATCTTTTGTGTTTTTGATTATTACCATTATAGCAGATGCAAAGTGATATCTCAATGTAGTTTTGACTTGCATTACTGATGTTAAACATTTTGTCATACACCTATTAGCTATTTGTATGTATTATTTGGAAAAAATGTCTATTCAGGTATCTTCCCTATGTTTAAATCAGTTTGTTTCTTGATATTGAGTTGTGTGAGCTTCTTATATATTTTGAATATTAACTTCTTATATGATGTATAGTTTGAAAATATTTTCTCCCATTTCTTAGACTACTCTTCTTTCTGCTGATTGTTTCCTTCACTGTACAAAAGCTTTTTAGTTTCATATACTCTCATTTGTCTATCTTTGCTTTTGTTGCCTGTGCTTCTTGAATCATAGCCAAAAAATCAGTTGCCTACGTCAAGTCAGGAAGTTTTTTTTCTCAATGTTTCTTCTGGTAGTTTTATACTTTGGGTTCTTACCTTTAAGTCTTTATACACTTTGAGTTGATTTTTGTATATGGTGAGATAGGGGTTCAGTTTCGTTCTTCTGTATGCAATTATCTAGTTTTCCCAACACCATTTACTGAAGATACTGTCCTATATTTATTGTGAGTTTTGGGTACTTTTGTCAAGGATCAATTGACCATAAATGTGTAAACCTATATCTGGGCTCTCTCTGTTAGGTCCTTTATCTACTTTTCAGTTATTTTAATAAAAAATATAAGCTAACAGCCAATTTAATTATTTTGTATGTAGATACCCAGTTTTCTCAAGAAAATTTGTTGTAGAAACTATTTCTTACAGAATAATCTTGGCATCCTTGTGGAAAACATTTGACAATATATATGAAGTTTTATATTTAGTCTTTAAATTCTTGGCACCATCTTGGCTCATTACAGCCTCCAACTCATGGATTCAAACAATTCTCGTGCTTCAGCCTCCCAAGTAGCTGGGAGTACAGGTGCATGCCACCACATCCAACTAATTTTTGTATTTTTAGTAGAGAGAGGGTTTCACCATATTAGTCGGGCTGGTCTCAAATTCCTGACCTCAGGTGATCTGCCCATCTCAGCCTCCCTAAGTGTTTGGATTACAGGCATGAGCCACCTTACCCAGCCTACTGGTCTTTCAATTCTATTCTATTGATCTATGTGTCTATCTTTATACCAGTACCACATAGTTTTGATTATGTACTTTTATAGTAAGTTTTGAAGTAAGAAAATACGAGATTTTCAACTTTCTCTTGTTTTTCAAAGTTGTTTTGGATATTCAGGATCCTTGATTTAAAATGTTAAATGCCACAAGGATGTAGCTGTACAAATCTGATAAATATGTATAATATATCTAAAATATACATTAATTTATGTACATTGCAGTGCTCCTAGAAGTTAAATTTCATTGTTTATTATTGTTTTCTTTCAAAATTATTGTTTTTAATGTAATATATTACATTTAATAGGGCTAAAATAAGAATATATTTTTATAGTTTATTTGTATTTTATAAAGTAATTCATCAGTAGATGACCAGCATAACACACTTCTCTAATAATAGATCCCACACCTGAACATACAACACTCTTAAGAGCTTTAGAAGTAATAACCTGGGTCCTATCTCTAGGGCACCTACCATAGTAAGTAGAGTAGACTCAGTGGTGAGTCTTGGAAATCTGAGGTCTCTATCTATTCCTTAATGAATTTGAATCAGAGGTATTTGCAAATCACTAATTGGAATAAAGATAATGAAAGACTGATAATTTAAACTTGTTTCTAGTTGCATAGAAGAGAAGTGTGGAGAATGAAGAAAGAAAGATAATTTGTGAATTGAATGATGATCAAGACAAGCAAAACACCTAGTGATTAATTGTTAGAGTCTTTACCGAAGGCCAACATGATGTCTAAACCTTTAAGCCATACAAGAAATTTATTGATGTTTACTGTCATCACAACTTTAAATCGTGTGAACAATGAGTTATATAATTTTCTCATTATTTTAATGACCAACACTGAATTCTCTCAATGATTAAACAAAATATTTTGCTGTATTGTTTTGTCTACATTTTTGGTATATAATTTTGTGTTTGGCCTGGAAAATACTGGTGAAAAAAAAGAAGGAAGGAATGAAGAGAGAAAGAATAAAAGGAAAAAGAAGAAAAAAGAAGGGGAAATAAAAAAGAAAATGAAAGAAAAGCAAAGGAAAAGAAAACAATAGTCAGCATTTAGAATCTAGAAATGCTATATAAAATTTTAAATTTCTGTCTCTTCTTGAAAATATTGAAACAACTGACCATACCAAGAACAAGTAGAAGAAAGTAGCTAGCTGGTCCTTCAGTCTGACAAGCACCATTCATGATTCTGTAGATGCTAGCTATTTCTGCCTCACATGTACTTGTTCAATTTCCTCAATATAGGGCACACTTGGCCTCAATAGATATTTGTGTTTATAAATTATGATATCAATAAAATCCACGAGAATATTGCTATTTGTACTGGTTTATGAAACACAAAGGCACAAGTAAATCCTTTCTTCTGCTTTCACCCAAAGGATAATTTGTTCTTAGGTTTATTCTCTACATTCAGCAAAGAAGTCAAGTCGTGCTTATTTGATTTTTCCTGCTTTTTTTCAGTGTTGATAAAACTTTAAATCTACCAGTGATGTGCTTAAAACAAATTCAGTTAAAAACACAGTGACAAGACTACAGTAAAAAAACTACAGAAACAAAACAAAAACTCAGTATTATCAGTTGAAAACAAGATTCTGAATAAAGCAATGAAATATGAAAATGTTATTAACTCTTCCAAGCCAGAAGTGATACGATAAATTGTTTTCTGAGCTCTTTTTTTTTTTTTTGATTGAGGGTTTTTTTTTTCTGTCACCTAGGCTGGAGTGCAGTGGCACAATCAGGTTCAATATAGCCTCAAACCCCCGGGCTCAAGCAATTCTCCTGCCTCAACCTCCTCAGTAGCTTGGACTACAGTAACACACCACCACACTTCGCTAATTTTTATTTTTTTCTTTTGTAGAGATGGGGGTCTCACTATGTTGACCAGGCTGGTTTTGAACTCTATGCCTCAAGAGAGGCCTCAGCCTCCCGTAATACTAGGATTACAGTCGTGAGCCACCACACTCAGCATGCTTTGCTCTTCTAGAATGTAAGTGTTAATTTGACTTTGCAGAGTATAACTTTGACTGCAGAAAGCCAATTATGTCAAATCTGTATTTTTTTTTAAATAGAGCAAAGTTTGATATAATCTAAACAAAACAACTAATTCAGTTAGTGAAACATTTCAATACATTTGATGTGCATGGTGAAACTAAAACTTTCAACAACTTAGTACTTCTTTAACTAGGACATCTGAAAATATAGGTATGGCAGGTGATTATAAAATTGTGTTATCAACATGCACAGAGCATGTTGTTTTATGAAAGTTAGTTTTATGAAAAAAGTTAGTTTTATGAAAGCTGAAAAATTTCTGGTGTTAGCACTAGATTTATGCACTATAATTTATGAATTATTGATCTATGCATGGGCATAAAATAATGCAAATAAAAGTGATGAGAGAAAAAGAGTGCCAAAGATCCAGCTTGCAAAATTACTACTCAGAATTTGCACTAATTCATTTCTCTTGAAAACTCCTGACCTACATCTTTCATTTTTTCTTATAAAGTAATAACTCCAAAGTACATCCCATACAAATCTTTTTAGGATCAAAAAATATACTATTATATAATTCTGGTATTATTTGTTACACGCATAATAAATTTTATTTTTATTTGCAGGTTTGATGACATGTTTGAACATAAGTAGAATCGGACACAGTTGTCTAAATGTCCCAAATCAAGTTTTAAAAATATTTTCATAAAATAAATGTAAGAGTTCACATCTCACAATCAGTCTTCACTTATTTTGGAAGAAAAACATACGTTAATATTTAATGTAATAGATACAATATTTTGTGCTTGTTTAAATAAAATGATATTCTACTTCTGACATATTGGGCTATTAGAGGCTTATTTTTGAATGTTTCCCCAGAAAAGGATGACTTTTTCTCCCCCTGAGAAATGTATTTCTCCTATCTCCATACCCACTCCTTCCAAAATGGGAAGCCTCAGAAGTCCTGTTATACTACAGAACCTAGTCTACAGTTCACTGCATCAGGTAAGAACAACTGACTGAAGCTAAGGATAGAGTCCTTCTCCTTTCAAGGAAGAATTGAGCGTCAGAGGTGCTATGCAATCGATTTCGATTATCTATTCTGAGGGAGCATGTGAGTGCATGTGCAATCGTATGTAAGAACTCCATGTAGCTGGTTTGTGCCTTCATGGAAGTTGTCACTTCATTCCTAATAGGGATAAGAGAGAAGTATGGCCATGATGATCTGAAATGATACAAAACAGCGGTCTGATAGACAACACTGAAAAAATATATTATTAACTACACTCGTTACTGATTTCTATCAACTGGATCAACTAGGGAAATACTGGGCATTATATAGGGAAGATGTCATATGAATTTACTGGTTTTGTGGCATTACATTCACATACAATATATAGAAATGACATTAGGGAAGAGAGAGTGTGTTTTTCATGGTACAAGATATAATTCAGTTATCTGAAGTTCAAATTATCTCTAGAAATAAAAAAAAAGTTGATTGGGCAGACAGTGGAGAATATTATAGTGGATAATTTGTGAAACCTACTCAACCCAGAATCTTTCCTTATTAGACCTACATTTACATCAATGGGAGCTGCAGCAATTATGTGTTGTCTATATGACCCAGCCATTCTAGCCACAGTTGATTAGGTGAGGAGTAAGTAAGTTATTCACAATTAGCTAATCAAATTGTCTTTCCTAAAAATTTGAGTTTGAAGCTTACAGATACTAAAATTTCTGACATATTAACAATTTAAACTATAGACATAAAAACTTAAGAGCTGTGGGGACAGCAATCAAAAGTTTGTTTAAATAGAAGCAAAATTAAATGCTCTTATAAATTTCTAGATATTTGAATTAATTAAGTTTATGAAGATGGGTAAATTTCTGTCTCTTGAAATCAAAAAAGCTATAACTTAAGTTGAATTATTCATATCAGGATTATCCCAAGTGTCCTGCACAAAATTTTATTTTGTTCTATTTTCCATCTGTCCAGGTTTTCGGGAGAAGCACATGAGCAGGCCAACTTACCTTGAAGCTGGTATTCAAGTTTCCTGGAATTCTTGGTTTAGGAAACATCAGCACCAGCTGTCCAGCTGCTCAAGTGAAAAACGTGGAAGTCATTCCTTCTCCCTTAGCCCCTGATCCAATCACTCTGTACCTTCTTAAATATCTTTTGAATCTGACCATTTTCCTCCACCTCCACTAGTACTAATTTTGAATTTATCTATTTTTAGTTATTACACACATTAGTGCAACACGCTATAATATTTCTGTGCTATATCTTCCTCTGCTGTAATCCATTCCCCATGTTAGTCAAAGTAATTTTTTCAAAATGTGATTATCACTATGTCACTTCTTTACATACAATTCTTCAATGTTTTCCCATTGCACTGACTATACATTCTAAAATTATGTGTGTATTAGTCCGTTCTCACACTGCTATAAATAACTGTCTGAGACTAGGTCATTAATAAAGGAAAGATGTTTAATTGACTCACAACTCTGCAGGGCTGGGGAGTTCTCAGTAAACTTACAACCATGGTTGAAGGGGAAGAATGCATGTCTTTCTTCACATGGTGGCGGGAAGGAGAAATGGAGACTGAAATGGAGAAAAGCTCCTTATAAAACCATCAGATCTCATGAGAACTCGCTCACTATCATGGGAACAGCACGAGGAAACTGCCCCCATGATCTAATCACCTCCCATAAGCTCCCTCCACCAACACATGGGGATTACAATTCAGATTACCATTCAAGATAAGATTTGGGTGGGGACAGAGAGCCAGATCATATCAATATGATTGTTACTTAACTCTCCAACCACATTTCCTATTCATATTTTTCTAGTTCTCAACTTTCTGGATCACGGTTTTACCACCTCAGAAATACTGATGTTTTGAACCAGATAATTCTTTGTTGTGGGGGCTTATCTTGTGCATCATAGAATATTTAAGAGTATCTCTGCCTCTCCTCACCTGTAGAATCCCCACTAGGTGTGACAAATGTTCCCAGTCATTGGCCAATGTCCCCTGAGGAGCATATCATTTTGATTGGGAGTCACTGTTCTAGGTACCTACTCATTCTTTCATGTATTCAGTGTTCTTAGACCTCAAATCTTTTGAAAATTATTTCTTCTTCCTGGAGTGTTCTTTTGGTGTTTCTATTTATTTTCTCACTAATTTAAAGCTACTCCCTCTCAATGTCATACACCAAGCTAGTTTTACACTCTGATATCTTTTACACTTACTTTTAAAATTATTTACCCCCACATCCCATGCCATTTTACAACTTTCTTTAATGTGCTATGTTCCTGCTCATCAGGAGGACTTTGCTCACAGTCTTTCAAATTTCGTGCTAATGGCCCTACCTTTGTCTCATTAAAATCTAATCATAAAGCCTGTGTCACTTCCTTCAGGAAAACTTCCTGAGCACCACAGACTATCATTCTCCTTTTGTTGCTGTTAATATACTTTCATAAATTATGTTTCATTAAGTCATAACAACTGTTTGCATTTTTGTATTTATTTGTGTAATGAGCTGGTTAATACAGTTCAAATTCACTAGTCTTTGTCTTCAATGAAAATGAGAACCATGTTTGCTTTGGCTTAACATTTTGTCTCTAGCACTGACCGAGAGTCTGATACAAAATAGACACTTAGTATATACTCATTGAATGAGAATGAATGAGGAACATTTCCCATAATTATAATTGGATAATGAGTTATGTAATTATGCTTGCAACCCGGAATGTGAGCTTCCTGAAATCTAGGACCTTATCTTTGCCTGGAACGACTATATCCACATTGCCTAAATCCTCAATAATTATTTTTCTCAAGGGAATGAGGGCGTCCTAGAAATAACTCATTTTTCTTGGAAGTTAAACATAAACATTTATATCACAAAATTTTAGATTTTAATAGACCTTAGACATCTACAGGACCTTTAAAATTTTTTTAGATGACCATGCATATAATACTCATGATCATATACTCATATAATACTGCACATAATCTCAGTGCAGTGTAATACTAGAATCTGCTCTCCTGACACTTACACATTACTTTTCTCATTTGGTTAGTATCACCGGCCAGGTATGTTTGAAAACTACAAAATACTCTATGATGTAAGTATTCACAATTCTTGCACACCTACAAATACCCTTAACTGCTAATGTTCATTACTTTTCTATTTATCTTATTCCAATTATTTTTCTCTCCTACTCAGTCTTTGTGTAGTTTCAAATGTAATTTCTTTAATAATTCCTGTTGCAATAGTTGATGCCACATTAATACATTAGTAGTCACATAATTTTAATTCTAGTACAACTTTTGTTGTCATTATCATGTTCATGAAACTTATTTAGACAACGTAAACATAGACTCAGATCTATAAACTCCACAAAAAGTCACATATTTTTAAATAATTCCACTGATATCCAGAGTCCCTTATTACCTTGCAACAATTTGAACTATGTGGAATAAGCAATAGTGTTTATAGTTAATAAAATTGTATTTTATTATTGAAAATTGTTGAGAGAGTAGATTTTAATTGTTCTCACTACAAAAAATGAGCTTACGAGGTAATAGATATGTTAATTACTTCAATTTAGCCATTCCACAGTGTATACCTACTTCAAAACATAATGTTGCACGTAATAAATGTAATTTTTATTGTCAACTAAAATAAATAAATAAAAAAGAAACAAAGTGCTATCAAGCTATGTATTTTGGACCACACAATAATAACTAATTTCCTAAAATAGTGGAGAGCCCTGTATAAGCTGCAACTCAGTCAATCTCAAGTATTGTGGACAATGAGAGTCACATTTATTAAATAAAGACTGTAACTCATTAATAAAAAACGTTAACATGATACTGACTTACGTGCTAAGGAAAATACTATTCCAGGAATGATTAATTACTCTATCTCTGCTGTATTGACTATTTAAAAGTAGAATTGACAAAACATGCTCGTAATTCCCCTTGTATACAAAAGACTGCATGGATAAACAGTTTCAGTACTTATATATGCAGTGCTTGACAAGCTGAGGTAGGCAAGCCTTTCTAGAAAATAACTCAATAGTTTTGGCAGGATGAATCACTTCCTACATTCCTAACCATGAAAATTATGTGCAGGCTTTGTGGGGTGAAGTAAGTCTGAGAAAATTCTGCCTTCTAGGTTTCATGGAGTTAGGATAAAAATCTTTCTTACATCAACATTGCGTTCTTAGGAGGTTGCTGTTTGCTTCAGCAAAACCTTTGTATGAATCCCATCCTGGGGGCCTTAGATACGTAAATCATTTCACAAAGTACTGATGAATATTAAATACAGAACAAAGAATAGCACTTTTCAAAAAAGAAGTATTTTTCAAATAAAAATCAAAAGTGCCCTCTCGTAATTGATTTATTTTAGTACCTACCCACAAAAAAAGATGTCTTGGAAGATATATGCTTCACTTAAAAATACCAGCACATTAAAAAAACGTTTTTAAAATAAAGCCATATTAAATAGATTGTTAGTAAATTATGGCACTGTTGAGCCACTCATTTTATCAAAGTACCATTTTTAAAGTTAAATATTAACCTTTAATCAAAGAAAACCTCTTTTATTTTATATGACTTATTGCTTCATATAAATGGATTTTTATTTTAATAAAAATAAGATAAATCATGCATAAACTAATATTAATGAGTGATTCATATAAATACACTTTTTATAAAGGACATAAGCAAATTTCTCTTCTTCCCAATTTTTCCTGTATTTAAAAGGTCCTAGTAAAAACAGTCACAATATGGTGAATTAGGAGTTCTAAAATAAGATTTTCCACTAAGTAGGTATGTGGCTTTAATACAGCTATTGCCTTGAACCTGATCTATTTAAGAAAATGAAGGTGTTTCAATGAATTACCTCACACATTCTAAACTTCTTTATTTATAATTGAGAAGCGAAATCAGGTTGATGTAAATAAGTGGCCATGAGAAAGAAATAATGTTGTCTTAAATGTTAATTTAAGGAATGAAAGGTATTGATTTAAGCTTGAAAAAAGTAACAGAGTTTTTAGTGTAGGTGTCCTTTCTACAAATGTGAACTAATTCTTCCATAAATGGCTCACATGGTTCTTTCTGTTAAGATCCAGGGTGACTTCCTCTGTCTCCTTACCCATTTTAAGAGGGAAAATAGGCATCTTTAGTAGGAAGCTGCATCTGTCTAAAACAGTAGCTTTATGTTTGACTTTGTAAATCATTTTTATTTGGTCTCTTCTTGAATTTGTTTCTTTTATTTGTTGGAGTTGGTTGTATACCACTCTAATTTAAACTTGAACATATTTATTCTGGCTAAGAAACAGTTCCTTTACCACTTCATGTTCAGTCTTTAAGTTTATTTTAGGTATTTTAGTTCTGAGTTCTATCTTATTTTCCCAGATATCTAAGCTGTGTTCATGCATCATTACCGCGTCTGTCCTATATTTCACTTCTCTGCAATGGAGCTCTTGCAATATATATTTTTTCCTCATGTTTATTTAAAATGCTTTTACAGTAGAGATCCTCACATCTTGATCACAATCGTCTCTCTTTTGTTGCTCATTGATGTTCTTCCCCTAGGCCACCTCACCTAGTAAAATAGCTGCCAATGTTTTTCCGGTTTTTACAGCTCTCATTTTTCTTTTGATGTCTAAAGAAATCACAAACCAAATATAGCTCAAACAGAAGTTTACTTCCTCCTGAATTTACTCCTCTTCCTTGTCATCATATCTCATTTAATGGCACAACAATGTACCAAACTGCTCAAGACCACAACTTAGAAGTTATTTATCACTTCTCCTTTCCTTATCACTCACATTCAAAATCCCTGTGTCCTCTAATTCTAAAACTGACATCGGCACCATTCACATTTTGCTGTCTCTTTTTCTACTCCCCAATTCACTCTACTGTCTTCTCTTGCCCAGACTAAAATAGTTCAGATGTTTGTCTTTTCTGTTCCAATAGATCCCCATTGTACCTGGACTTAAAACCAAATTTATATTATGGACAATAGGTTATATATGAACTGGTTCTTGGTTATTTATCTTGACTCATTTTCTGCCATTTCTCTCTTTTTTAGCCAAATGAGTTTTGTTTTTCATTTGTTTGTTTGTTTTGTTTTTGTTGTTTTACAAAATATATTAAAATTCTTTCCAAGGTGGAGCTTTTAATCTTGATGATCTTTCTGTCAGGAATGATGTATTTTTAACTGTTTTGCTGAATTTTTCTTGCCATGTAAGTTTCAGTCCATATTTTTTCTCCATTGTAATAGCTTCTTTGACTGCCCAAATTATCATATAAATGATATGATATCAATCAACATCCGTACCCTTTTCCCAATTAAGCACAATTATATCACACTGAATTTACTATATTTTTAAATATGACATTTTAATGTATTTGGAAGAAAAACACTTTTACTTATTTCTTTCCTCCAAGATCCAGAAGAAGACATGGATAGTTACTCTTACAACTTCCATTCAAGGTAATATTGGAAGTCATCATCAAGCAATTGTCAAGATAAGGAAATAAAGGCATGCAAATAGAAAAGAAAGTGAAATTGTTGTTGTTTGCAGAGGACATGATCCTGTATATAGAAAACCCTAAATATTCCACAAAAAAACCTGTCAGAACTAATAAATAGATACAGCAAATGTAAGGGATACCAAATCAACATGTGAAAATCACTAGTATTTCTCACAAAAAAAATTCTGAAAAAGAAATCAAGAAAACAATCTAATCTATAATAGCTACAAGAAGAATAAAATAGGAATAAATTTAATCACGAAGGTAAAGTATCTGTAGACTGAAAATTATAAAACAGTAATGAAAATAATTGAAGAAGGCCCGGCACGGTGACTGACTCCTGTAATCCCAGCACTTTAGGAGGCTGTAGTGGGCAGATTACATGAGATCAGGAGTTCAAGACCAGCCTGGCCAACATGGTAAAACCCCGTCTCTACTAAAAGTACAAAAAATTAGCCAGGTATGGTGGTGGGCACCTGTAATCCCACCTGCTCCAGAGGCTGAGGCAGGAGAATCTCTTGAGCCTGGGAGGCAAAGGTTGCAGTGAGCCGAGATGGCACCATTGCACTCCAGCCTAGGAAACAAGAGTGAAAATCCTTAAAATAATAATAATAATTAATTAATTAAAAAATAAAATAATTGAAGAAGACACAAATAAATGGAAAGATATTCCACGTTCATAGATTGAAAAAATTATGGTTAAAATATCCATACTACCAAAGTGATCGACAGATTAAATACAATCCTTATCAAAATTCCAATGTCATTTTTTACAAATATAGAATAAATAATTCCAAAATTTATATGGAATCACACAAAATCCCAAATAACCTGGACAATTATGAGCAAAAAAAAAAAAAAAAAAAAAGAAAACAAAGGTGAAGGAATCACATTGCTTGATTTCAAACTGTAATATAAAGCTGTAGAAAATAAAACAGTGTGGTGCTGCCATAAACATAGATTCATTGACCAAACAAAAAAACAGATATCATAGAAATGAACATATATTTGTATGGTCAATTGAGCTTTGATGAAGATACCCAGGATATACAATGGGAAAAGGACACTCTTATGAATGATGTTGAAGAAACTGGATATCTATATTCAGAAGAGTGAAGGACCCTTCTCTAACATCATAAAAGAAACAAACTCAAAATAGATTAAACATTGAAATGTAAGACCTGAAATTGTAAAACTATTATAAGAAAACATAGAAAAATGACACGACACTGGTTTGGGCAATAATTTATCTCGATTTTACACTGAAAGTGCAGGCAATAAAAGCAAAAATAGACAAATGGGATTACATGAAACTAAAAAGCTTTGCACAGCAAGCGAACAACAGAGTGGAGAAACAAATGACAGATCAGGAGAAAATATTTGCAAGCCATATATTTGATAAGGGGTTAATATAAAAAATAAGTAAGGAACACAAACAACTCTATATAATGGAAACTAATTATCCAGTCAAAAAATAGGCAAGGGACCTGAATAAATACTTTACAAAAGAAGACATACATGTGGCCAACAGACATATGAAAAAATGCTCAACATCACTAATCATTAAAAAAATTCAAATTAAAATAACAGTGAAATAATACACCACACCTGTCAGAATGGCTATTACCAAAAAGGCAAAAAAAAAAAAAATCACAATTTTTGGTGAGAATGTATAGAAGAGGGAGACTTGTACACTGTTGGTGGGATTGTAAGTTAGTATAGCCATTAAGGAAAACAGTATGAAGATATCTCAAAAAACTAAAAATGAAATTACTGTCTAATACAGCAACCCCGCTTCTGGGTATTTAAAGATTTGAAGTTAGTATGTAAAAGAAATATCTGCACTCCCAAATTATTTGCAGCATTATTTACAATAGCCAAGATATGGAATGAACCTATGTCCATCAACAGATAAATGGATAAAGATAATATGGTGTGTGTGTGTGTGTGTATAAAATATAGTGTTATGTATATATACACATACAATAGTACTCCATCGTATGTGTGTGTTGATACATATATGTATACGTTGTATGTATGTGTATACAATGTGTGTGTGTGTATATATATATGTCTTGAAAAAGTATTTTAAAACTGTTAAAAAAGAAGATATTCTTCTTTGCAACAAACAACATGGTTGGAATTGGAGAATATTATACTAAGTAACATAAGATACATGTTCTCATTTTTTGTAAAATCTAAAACCATCAAACTCAAAAGAATACAGAGTGGAATGGTGACTATGAGAGGCAGGAGGCAAAGGGAATAGGGAGATGATGGTCAAAGGATACAAAGCCTCGAATAGAAAAAGTACATTTCTTTTTCTTGGATATATATTGTATAGCATGATGAATATAGTAAATCGTATTGTATTGTGCATTTCAAAATCTCCAAGAGGGTAAATTTCAAATATTTTTCAAATATTTTCCCCACAAAAAAAGTTATGTACTTGATATGATGGATATGTTAATTCACTTGATTTCATTACTTCACATTAAATTCATAAGTATTAACAACATTTTGTACCCCATGAATATATACAAACTAACTTGTCATTTTACAATTAAAAATAAAAATTAGGCCTGGCGTGGTGGATCATGCCTGTAATCCCAGCACTTTGGGAGGCTCAGGTGGGCAGATCACGAGGTCAGAAGTTCGAGACCAGCCTGGCCAAAGAGACCAGCCAGGCCAACATGGTGAAACCTCGACTTTACTAAAAATACAAAAATTAGCTGGGTGTGGTGACGGGCGCCTGTAATCCCAGCTACTCGGGAGACTGAGGGATGAGAATTGCTTGAGCCTGGGAAGTGGAGGTTACAGTGAGCCGAGATCACGCCATTGCACTCCAGCCTGGGTGACAGAGTGAGACTCTGACTCAATAAATAAATAAATAAACTAATAAATAAATAAATAAATAAAAATTAAAAGTGTTTTTAAAGTAAATCAAAGATTTCTTAAAGTCCCTCCCAATGTTTTTCTTTTTACTTCTTTATGTGCTGCCTCTTTGCAATATAATACGCATTCTAAGTAAACATGGTTCTTCATGATGATGTTTAACTTAGCCCAGAATTAAAAATCAATTAATATACATTAAATACATGAATGAAGAAAGAAATAAATCAATATCACCAGTGATGGCCCTTTTATATATCAAATAAGCTAAAAATTTATAGCTAGAAAACATTTTAGAATTATCTCATCTAAGTGACTCATTTTATAAATGAGAAAACAGAGATCAGGATACATTTTGTAACTTGCTGAAATTCACACAGATAACCAGTAGAAAAACTAAGACTGGAATTCACATTTCCCGTAACATGCAGGACAAACTGAAGCAAAAAATAAATTATCAATCTTTTTTCATATGACTTTCTTTCTCCAAGCATATGTCACACCATCTGTTTATCCTGCAGTTACATTTATCCTCTTTCAAATGTATTCTTACAAAGAAAATTATAACAGATAAGGTAGTCTAAAAGTATAAAAAGTTATTTTAAGACTTGGGATTTCTGCTGTTTAAAGAGCTTGAGAGTTATTAATAGCATACATACAACAATAAAAACAGAACATAGCAAAAATCAATGACTTTTGTATCCACCAGAAAACTGAAATCTCAAGTTAAAATCACCACTCCAAAATTTGGAAGGACAAGTGAATATAGAGAGTCAGCGTCAACATCTGTGAGCATGCACAACTGGGGCCATAAAGTGGTAGAAACACTTGAATGGTAATTTTGACAAATTGCTGGAGACTAAGGTCTTATGAGAGAAGAAGAATCGGAAGGAAGCGGTAGTCACAGGGATCCCCATGCATTCACGGGTTTATATCTGGCAGCCTCACAGTTTCTTATGTTGAAGAGCCAAGTGAGATACCTCTTGTGGTACTAGGAGACGAGAGAGAGAGAGAGAGAAAAGAAAAGAAAGAAAGAGAAAGAAAGAAAGACTGTGAAATACACCCAGAGAGCTATTAAATAACAAAGGCTTACACTCCAGAGAAAAGTCTCTACCAAAACTTTATCCTCTCTAGAGGGAAGTTACAAGACTTTAGCCCCTGTAACCTCCTGTGTCACCAGGGAAGGAAAAAAAGCTAAAAAAAAAAAAAAAAAAAAAAATCACTTATGAAGGACACTGCCCAGGTAGACAAGTCTTCTATAAAACTGAGATTTTACCTAAAATAATAATTCACTGTTCTTTTTTTTTCTCCCCCAACACCATACTCCCACATCAATAGGGCTCTATAGCAGTGGATTACGGGTGGAGTGCGGTGGCTCATGCCTGTAATTCCAGCAGTTTGGGAGGCCCAGGCGGATGGATCACCTGAGGTCAGGAGTTCAAGAACAGCCTAACCAACATGGTGAAACCCCGTATCTACTAAAAATACAAAAATTCGCCTAGTGAAGTGGTGCGCACTTGTTGTTTCAGCTACTTGGGAGGCTGAGGCAGGAGAATCACTTGAACCTGGGAGGTGGAGGTTGCAGTGAGCCGAGATTGTGCCACTGCACCCCAGCCTGGGCAGCAGAGTGATAGTCTGTCTCTAAACAACAACAACAAAACAAAACACCCCAGTAGATTACAACTTAAAAACCTGTGAGATAGACCCTAAGTAAGGTGGAGTTCTTAGGAAATCCCAAAGAAGGTACTGAAGACAAAAATAAGGGTACTAGAATAATTTAAAGGGTCGAACTGTCTGGCACCTATTACTATGGCAAATATTAAATGCTGCCAATTTGTTGCCAAGTAAACATAAAACCTAACACTAAAGGCCTATTTACTTAAGCTCCTATTTTCTGATATATCATGTGTGGAAGTCAACAAAAAAATTAGAAGGCATATCAAAAGGGAGGCAAAAGCATATAGAACACTCACCAACATAGACCAATTTTAGGCCATATAAAAAACCTCAACAAATTTAAAAGAATAGAAATCATAAAAATATATTGTTAGTCTACAATACAATTAAACTAGAAATCAAAAATTAAAAAAAAAGTCGAAAAACTCCCCAATTGGAAATTAAATATCACATTTCTAAATAATACATGGGTCAAACAAAAAGTTTTAGGAAAAGATGTTTAATTATTTTGAACGAAATGAAGATCCAATTTATTAGAGCCTGTGAGACTCATTAAAAAATGCTTAGAGGAAGATTTACAGTTTTAAATGTATATATTAGAGAATAAAAGAAAATAATCCAAAACCAATAATCTAAGCTTTCACTTTAGGAAATTATAGAAAGAAGAACAATTTAAAGCAAAAGTGAGCAAAATAAAATAAATAATAAAATTAGAACAGAAACCAATGGAGTTGTAAACAAAAAAATAAAAATAAGAAAATCAACAGACCAAAAGCTTGTTCTTTGAAAAAAGATCAATAAAATCTATCAACTTTCATTAGCCAGGTGTAAGAACAAAAAGAGAGAACAAAAACAACCAATATCAGAAAAAATGTGGTCATCACTCTGATTTTAGAGACATTAAAATGATAATAAAGGAATACTATCAACAATTCTATGCTCACAATTTTGATGACATAGATAAAATGGATCAATACCTTAAAAAACACAAACTATTGCAATTCACATGAGGATAAATAGTTGATATGAATAGGCTTATTTCTATCAGGAAAATTTAATTTATAACAAATAGCTTTTCAAAAAAGAAATCACTAAGCCTACATAGTTTCAATGGTGAATTTTACCAAAAAGTAAGGATACCAATTCTATGTGATTTTTTCCCAGGAAATGAAAACTAGAGAAAAACTTCCTGACTCAATTCATAAATCCAGATTATTCTTATTGTAAAATCTGATTAAAAACTCACTGGAAAGGAAAAGATCAATATCTCTCATGAATAGAGATGAGGAAATCTTCAAAAAATAGCAAATTAGATATAAATATGTAATTTAAAAGTATATACTATGAGCAACTAGGATTTATTACATGTATATTACAGCTAGCCTGGTACAAAATTTGAAAATCGATCATTGTAATTCATCACATCAACGGACAAATGAAGAAAAATTATATATTCATATCAATTGATGAAAAAATACACCTACAAAATCCAGCACACATTCAAAATAAAAACCCTCATTAAACTAGGAGTTAAGATAGTTTCTTTAACTTAAAGAACTATAGACTTTCATAGACTTATGAAAAATCCACAATTAACATCATACTTAATAGTGAAAATTTAAATGCTTTCTCTCTAACATTAGCAACAAGGCAAGGAAGGATATCCTCTCTCACCACTCTATTCAACATTGTACTATAAGTCATACTTAGTGCAATAAGAAAAGGAAATAGGAAGTATGCAATTTAATAAGGAGAAATAAAGCTGTGTTTGTTCACAGATGATGTGATTATCTATTTGGATTTCAAAGAATTAAAAAAAAAATCTCCCGTGAGTATAACAAAGTTTCAGAATGTAGGTTCCTATACAAAAATCAATTACTTTCCCATACACCAGCAATAAAAATTGAAATTAAAATTTGAAATGTGAAAAAGAAACATACAGTGATGTCTACAAAATGCACCATAAAATGAAACAGGCATAAATCTTACAAAACACATGCAAAATTTATATATGGAAAATGATAAAACTCTGATAAAATACATCAAAGAAGATCTAAATAAAGCAAGAAATATTGTATATTCATAGATTAGAAGAATCAATATTGTCAAGATATCAGTTATTTCCAACTTAATCCAAAGATTCAATGCATTCTAAGCAAAAACCCTAGCAAGCGATTTTATAAATACCAATAAAATTATTATATTGTTTATATGGAAAGATAAACAACTTTGATTAATCAATACAATACTATAAAAAGAAACAAAGTAGAAGGACTCATGCTTGTTGACGTCAAGATTTTTATACAGCTACAGTAATAAAGACAGTGTGGTAGTGGTGAAAGAATATACACAGGTCAATGAAAAGTTGTAGTATATAAATCATACCTTCTTCACTCATTATCTCTATCCAACTCCTTTAAATATTTATGATTTTATTGTTTGAGTCATTATCCCCATGGGTCTAGATAATATGATTATGCTTCTCTTTCTTGATTTTTCAAGTTTAGATGTTTGTTGGTGTTTTTTAACTTTCCACACAAATAACTCAAAATTGTAAAAGAATGATATAACTATGGAAAAATAAAAATCTTCTGTCTACCTCTTCCCTTTAAAGAAAGCAATTGCCATTCTGCTTCTTAAGTGATACATGGATCTACTTCATGTTTGTATTTCTTTTTATACTGTATTTTTTAGCAGTGATTTTTTTTTCTATCTCTACCCATGTGAATGAATGCATAGGCCTCACAGCTGTATTTTGAATAAAATCAATATGAATCCATCAGATCAAGGAGGCTTAGATCAAACCACTAACTTAAAAGCTACATAATCAAGCTAAAACAAATACCCAGGAAAGTATAGGTTACTTTTTGTGTGGAAGGCTAACCAACCAGAAGTGAAATTTCCTTCTTTCTCCCTCATGTTTCCAGGAGGGTAATATTTATAACATAACAGAACAAGGAGGATTTTCTGGAAGCCCCAGAGAGCTAAATTAAACAATGCCTATCACAGCAAAACCCAGCTTTCTCTTGCCTGATTCGTTTCTTGCCACTGAAAACAATCTTTCAATCACATTAAAACTCTGCCAGCCTAGCAGTCTTTGGTAATTAGTGATCTAAAAGAGAGAAGAATTTTTAGTAAATACGTCAGAAATTGAAGACCTTAAATAAGCCAAGAAGGAAGTGTGATCTGAATTTTAATTACTATTGTCCATGATATTCACTTTCTCAGAGAAAGATGAGATGTCATGACATTGTTTTGGATTAAGGACTGGAAAAATAAAAGCCTAATAAAAATACTGTTTTCTGCAAGTTAACAGATGGATAACTTGGTACAAATTCATAACTCTTCCATCTCTGACAGTCACCTAAATAAATTACAAGTACAGAATCTATAAAGTAATTATTTATTCAAAATTTTTAACATCAGGGAGTTTTTGACAGCATTAGCAAAAGGGCTCAGAAAAGACAAGGTGTTTTAACAAAGAGAATGCTGATTTAGTGTAGCTGTGCGCTTAATCTATAGCATCTGGCTTTGCCACTTAATAGTCTTTTCAGTTTAAAAAAGAAAAGCTTCTCTTTGTGCCTGTCTTGATTATTACTTCAGATCTTAATTGACAACATTTTTTCACTTTCAGCTATTACTAAAAGATCTCAGAAGATGAAGAGAATGCATCAGGAACCCGTGTCTACCATATCAACAGCCTTCCAATTTCCCTGAAAGTTGTGTTAGCATACCCTAATGGACTGATATGATCACACTCACATCAGAAACAACATTTTCTGCCTGGCACGATGGCTCACGCCTGTAATCCCAGCACTTTGGGGAGCCAAGGCGGGTGGATCACCAGAGGTCAGGGGTTCAAGACCAGCCTGGCCAACATAGTGAAATCCCGTCTCTACTAAAAATACAAATATTAGCCAGGCATGATGGCGGGTGCCTGTAATCCCAGCTACGCGGGAGGCTGAAGTGGAAGAATCGCTTGAACCCGGGAGGAGGAGGTTGCAGTCAACCACCGGGATAGCGCCACTGCACTCCAGCCTGGGCAACAGAGAGAGACTCCATCTCAAAAAAAAAAAAAAAAAAAAAATCAACATTTTCATCTAATATTCATAGTGGCCCCTTTCTACCCCACCCTCTCATGTATTCAGAACATTTGCAGATAAAACAGCTGAAATCCATTGAAATATTTTCTCTATATTGATGTGTTAAATAAAACTAGTGAAGTATTACATTCATCTGGTCAGCAAAGAAGAAATGCATTTAATATTCTTCCTTCCAAGATGAATCAGCATTGCTGTGTCTAAAGCGCACAGAGTAAAACAGAGACTTGATAGATATGTGGCCAATATGATCAGTCCAACAAACGGTTTATTTAAAGCATGAATTTCCTATTTGCTAGTTCAATTTGTTGAGGTGCGTTTATAGATAATTTACTAAAGCTTACTGATTTAAACATTGTCATAAAATAGGCAAAAAAGTATTACTTTGAAAAATCGTCACCATATATTAAAAAAAACTTTTGAATTAAATGAACTCGAGCTATGAGCTATGAACATACAGCTCATGATGAGTGTGAATGGTTTATTTCCTTTTATATAGTCATGAAACCTAAATCCAATTACATAATCTTCAAAGCATAAATTAAAGCAAATGAACTTATAAAGAAGGAAAATCGTAAATGGAGTATTAATACAACACTAAATAAATACCAGAAAAAACTTTAAACTTTGAAAGGAAAATAATATAAAAGGATAAATTATAGGTATTATTCTCATATGTTACCACTGGTTTGTTTTAGAATTTAAAGTTTTATTGCTAAAGCTTAAAAAATTAGAAACTATAATATGTATTCAACAACTTAAATATAGCAACAGATAAACTTATTGCATTAATCAGAATAGAAATCGAGTTAAACAATTCTAAATGTAAACCTCTATATTTGGGGTAAATTTTGAACATAGTGTGAAACTCATTAAATTTGTTTCATTCTTAATATCTTTTTATATTTATATACAATCTATCTATATAAACGTTTTCACAAAAAAATTTGACAAGACTAGAAATTGCATACTATATAAATATACTTTTTACCCTCCAGGGAAATATGTCTATTTCACATGTAAACACAAGTATAATAATTTTAGAGTAGTATTCATTATTTCACGCGTTATACTCTCATAACATAGAAAATCAAGCAAACATTACTAAAATGAAATACTGGTCTACACATTTCTCTCACCAGTCTATGATCCTAAATAAACACGTTAAATGAACTTGACTGCAGTTGACTGAAAAGATTTTTCTCAGAAATGAGGTATTATTTAGCCAAATTCTGTCTTTGGATTGGGAAGAGCATTCTCTCTGGTGGTGAGGGAAAAATAGCCACTCGTTTTTCCTTTTCTCGTTTTAATCAGGAAGAGTTTTCTCCTCTGTAGTCAACGTAATTATTGCATTCTGAAAAAAAACAGTAGGAAAAATGTCCATATAAACCAGTGGCAGTGTTTTCAGTATACTGAAAAAAATATATATATGTCTCTTCTCTAAGTGGAATAAAGGATAGTAAGCTGCTGGTGATAAATTCTCATATTTTATTGGATATCACTGATTCAGAATCTTGTTTTGACATCTACTCCAAAGGATTTCATAGAGATGTTTTCAAGCTTCCATTATTTCTGACAGAAAAACAGTAATCATTATTATTCCTGGTTTCTTGTGTACAATATGCCCTTCTCCCAATCTTGCTACTTTGAAGATTGTCTTCTTATCTTTAATTTTCAGAAGTTTGCTTTTAATTTGTCTAGGCTTGATGCATTTTATTTTTATTCTGTTTGCAGTTTGCTGAGTTTCTCGGGTCTTTGGGTTAGTGTTTTTCATCAAATTTGGGCACTCTGGATATTATTTATTCAGACATTTATGTTTTCTTAAACATAGTTTTCTTTTCTCTCTAGAATACTATTTTGTCTATGTTAGAAAGTTTGATATTGTAAACAGATGCATGTGGCTTCACATCTTCCTGTTCAATTTGTTGTTCAAATTGGATAATTTATGTTGATCTTCCTTCAAATGCTTTATATGTCACCTTCAATAAGTTTTTAAGCCTATCAAATACTGTCATTATAGTTTTCTAGAAATTTTATATTTCTAGAATTTCTTTTTTATAGTTGAAGTTTCCAACTCTATGCTAAAATTTCCCATCTGCACTCATTAAAAACATATATTTTTATTTATTTATTTATTTTTTGTTTGTTTTTTTGAGACGGAGTCTCACTCTGTCCCCCAGGCTGGAGTGCAGTGGCGGGATCTCGGCTCACTGCAAGCTCCGCCTGCCGGGTTCACGCCATTCTCCTGCCTCAGCCTCCTGAGTAGCTGGGACTACAGGCGCCCGCCACCACGCCAGGCTAATTATGTTTTTTATTTTTAGTACAGACAGGGTTTCACCGTGTTAGCCAGGATCGTCTCGATCTCTTGACCTCGAGCCTGCCTTGGCCTCTCAAAGTGCTGAGATTATAGGCATGAGCCACTGCGCCCGGCCTGAAAACATATTTTTTAACAATTAACAAATTTTTATTATTGCTTTGAATACACTTTTACTATGTATGCATATATACATATAAATATATTTAGTAATAATAGAGTATGTGTGTGTTTCTGTGTATCTATATAGATATGCATATATATGTATATATTCTAATTTGTCTAGGCTTGATTCATTACGATCCTGTTCGGGGTTTTATTCTCTTTGGAGTGTATATATGCATGTGCATACTCGGAGTGTGTGTATATATATATATATATATATATATGCATATACACACACAGACACACAGACACACCCACACACTCTCTCTGTCTTGCCACAAAATTTTCCTAGAGTTCTTATCTGTTAAATTCAACATTAGGCCTTTTGCCATTAGTCATATTGTCCTACATTTTTTCTTGCCTATAAATCTCATAGTTTCCAGTTGCTTTCTATGTATAGTGATTTTTGATCGAACACTGGAAATTATAGTTAATACACCATAGAGATTAGATTATGTTATTGTCTTCTGAAGGTTCTTAATTTTCAGTAAATAGTTAAATTGTTGGATGATTACCTTGGAAGTTTGTAGTCTTAGTTTTAAGCCTAGTGCTCCTTAGTGAAGATCTAAGGAAAGCAATGTGTTCTTAAATCCTTCCAATTTGGCAGGACTAATCTCTAACCTTTTGTTTATGTATGTTGTCAAGGCTTGGTTTTAGCTTATGTTGGGGCCAGCATTGTTTAAGTTCTATTCTAGGGTGTGGTTATTATCCCTAAGACCAGACTTGCTGTTATCTCAGATGGATGCCAGAGGTATTTTGTGATATTGAGACTATTTCTCCACCTCAAAATACCCTGAGCTACGAAGTGCCCCAGCTCTCTTCTTCCTCCAAGACCGTGTGCAACTGTCACACATATTTCAGTTCCATTTTCAACCCCATAGCCTCACCCATCTGATAAGCTTTGGGAGGTCTCATGCTGGGCATGCACACCTCAGTGCATTGCCAAAGATTTGTAGAGATACCTTTCATAGCTATCTGGGGTGCTCTTATTACCAGGTCTTTCCATTTCAATTATCTGCTCTACAGAGACTGGTCATTTCATTTGCTTCTTATTCTGAACACTTCTGCTTCACGTCAGTGTGGCCAATGTGTTCTACTCAGGCACCAGTTCTCTACACCTTGAATGGTGGAGAACAGGCCATCTTAGGGCTTGTCACATGAAATTTATTTCTCTAAGGAATCTCGGTGTAGTCCACAGCCTGAAAAGAGTGGTATCATTGTTTTATCTGATTTCATAGTTGTTTACAGTGGAAAAGCATTTGGGTATTGAAAAGAAAATGTTGAAAACCATAAATAAAGTTTATTTTAATAAATAATTACATTTTAATCCTATTAGGCAAAGAGAGCAAATGATAATGTCTTAGTGAAATTTCTATTTATTCATTTTTATATATTTCAAATTATAAGCAATATGCATGGTACCCTTAAGTATATGTCAGGCTCCTTGATTTATACTCCTCACATTTACTCCTTCACTACATATAAAATATAAAGGCCAACGGTTCTGAAATTTATTGGTTTCAGAATCTCTTTATATTGTTTAAAAAACATAGATCATCCAAGAGCTTTTGTTTATGAGGATCATATATTAATATTCAGAAAACAAAAATGACAAAATTATAAATGTCGTAATTAATTCATTTAAAGATAGCAGGACAGGTGCAGTGGCCCACGACTGTAATCCTAGCACTTTGGGAAGCCAAGGCCAGCAGGTTGCTTGATCCCAGGAGTTCAAGATCAGCCTGGGTAACATGATGAAACCCTGTCTCTACAAAAAAAATACAAAAAATTAGCCAGGGGTGGTGGCACACTTCTGTTGTCCCATCTATGTGTGTGGCTGAGGTGGGAGAATCACCTGAGTCTGGTAAGTTGAGGCTGCAGTGAGCTGTGATCCTGACACTGTACTCCAGTCTGGGCATTGAAGTGAGACTCTGTCTCTAAATAAATAAATAAATAAATAAATAAATAAATAAATAAATAAAGCAATAATAACTCCACTTCATGTTAACATAAATAATATAGGCTTTATATTTTATGTTTTATGGCATTGTTTTAGGTTTTTACAAATCTCTTTAATTTGTGGCTTAATAATAACAGCTAGATTCTCATATTTCTTCTGCATTCAGTGTGTTGCAATATGATATTTGGTTAGATAGTATAAAGAAAATTCAGTATTACACAGGTACAAAAAAGAGAGAAGTGTTTTGAGAATATTTTTACATAACTGTGGATATTCTGATTTTATATTATGCTGACTTTGACAAGTGATATTTTCCTAAAGATTGGTTGCAATGTGGAATCTGAAATCACATCCATAATTCTTTCATACTCTTATTATATCTTTTTACCTGTATTGCATTTTGATTACATCTTTCACCCATGCATGCTATGACATCACGTAATTGTCTTCTAGAAATTTTTTCTGTTCACTTATTTATATAGGTATTTTAAATATTGCATTTTATGAATCAAATTAAAATTATTGAATATTAATTAAATTCTCAGAAGTTATTAATATGCTAAAACTTAGATAACAAGGTCTATATTAGGCTTATTTTAATTAAAATATAATTACTGTCTTAGTGACTTGACACTAGATATTTCCTTCTAGTGCTTAAGTATTATGTGTAGTACCTTTTAGCCTTTAGTTTTTTAAGTCAGAAAAGGAAAATTGCTTCTTTAAATAATGCAGAACATAATAAATTATTTCTGAGTTTCTATCACTATAGCAGCATCAGAGAATGAAGAAACTTAGAATCTTTATGACTGAAACAAAATAAATATGACACATAATCAAAACCTCCTGCACTTTAGCCAGTTATACCGTGGATTTGGATGAGACACCAGGAAACAACACTTGTATTCTTCGCAGTGCCCTTCATGTATTGATGGTACTATTACATCCAGGACATTTAAGTCAATATATTCATAGTATAGTAGACCTGAAAAATACTAGAGTGATTTTCCATGTAACTTTCTGATTTTGTTCATTAAAAAAAAAGAGTTCTCTAGAGATCATTTGACTTAAGGTAATAGCTGGTTGGTCATTCAGCTGAGAACAGAATACGGATCCTGGATCTCTGTAAAAGCCACTATTCTACAAATAGTAGTTACGGTTGGTTTCAATGTCCTTTAAAAATAGCATGATAATTTTTTTACCTAATTCTATAAATAAATCAAATTGAAGGCCGGGCGCGGTGGCTCACGCCTGTAATCCCAGCACTTTGGGAGGCCGAGGCGGGCGGATCACGAGGTCAGGAGATCGAGACCATCCCGGCTAAAACGGTGAAACCCCGTCTCTACTAAAAATACAAAAAATTAGCCGGGCGTAGTGGCGGGCGCCTGTAATCCCAGCTACTTGGGAGGCTGAGGCAGGAGAATGGCGTGAACCCGGGAGGCGGAGCTTGCAGTGAGCCGAGATCCCGCCACTGCACTCCAGCCTGGGCGACAGAGCGAGACTCCATCTCAAAAAAAAAAAAAAAAAAAAAAAAAAAAAAAAAAAAAAAAAAAAAAAAAAAATCAAATTGAAAATAAAGCCATATAAAACTGGATCAACAAATATCTATTTAAATTTACTCTACTTAAAGTAACACTAGTCTGAGAATATTGTTTTCTTTTATTTATAAATAATGCATGACTGATAATTATAAATAATTATCTGGTGATTCAGTAAGATCATCCAAAGACCAGTATGAACAAAATAATGTAAAACTAAAATTGCATTTTCTATAATTTAAAGGGAAAATCTCTGACTTCTGAGTTTGTATTTTGGTAAGCTAAATGTGTCTGTTTGCTTCCATTCACTATTGCATTGAAATATGCAATAACGAAGAAAAAAAGTATACATTTGGAACAACAATTAAATGCGTTTCCTTACCTTGCACGAAGTAACTCTAAATATGATTAATTAAAGCCAGATTTGAGAAAAAATGTTGGATCACCTAACAAGAGACTATTCCAGCTGAATGTTTCTCTTGACTCCATAAGAGGATCAAGGCCTGAGACATTGGCTATCATCTGGAGTGGCTCAATGGGGTGGCTGATTCATATCTACTACTTCTTCTTGCTTCATCTCCAAAATTATATTTCTTTTGTAACCATTTACAAGAAATAAGATGGGTAATGCACATGGAATTCTAAATTGCGTATTCAACTTTATGTAAGAGAAGAGAGAGTAAGATTACTGTTAGCAGTATATTGTGTATACTTCATTTCCATATTTCAATTCTAACACATGAACTGCAAGCTGTTTCACATCATCCATAGAAATATGATTTCAATTTCCTTACAGATTATCTTTAAAGTAGAGTAGCAAAAGCCTACTGAGCAGAAGATGGTTAGCAGTAGGTCTGAAAAATTGATATGTTTCTGTGCATACAAAGATGGACATTAAAGGATAACATTATTATTCCTAATTTTCTCCATATTATAGAAAGCACAGTTGTCTGCTGTGAATGATAGAGTGGAGATAAGATATGGCACTTATGAAGATTTACTAAGGTTTAGGATTTAGGATGATTATCATAGGGAAAGCATATCATAGGTGACCAAGGAAAAGTAAATAGGTTGATAATTGGCATTGAAGCCTTTGCTGATGTTTGAAACTGTATCTCTATGAAAAATCAATCTATTTATCTATTTGACTGCATTTCTACATCATATAGGAATAGAGGAGACAAATAGCAGGGTTTAGCATAGGTACAGGGCCCTTGAGGTAGAGACTAGGAAACAAAATGGCTCCAGGATGCTGCTGTAGTGCAGAATCATGTCAGAAGATAGAGCAAAATTTAGGCTGAATATAAGGGAAAATGTGATAGAAGCAGATACCAGCAAAGAATATAGAAAAGAAAATTTCAATGACTTTGAAAAGTAAGTGCAGAGAACACCATTGTATTAGTCTGTTCTCACACTACTATAAAGTTACTACCTGAGACTGGGTAATTTATAAAGAAAGGAGTTTTAATTGACTCACAGTTCCACATGGCTGGAGAAGCCTCAGGAAACTTACAATCATGGCAGAACATGAAGGGGAAGCAAAGCACATCTTACATGGCAGCGAGAGAGACAGAGTGAGAGGGGAACTGACAAACACTTTTAAACCACCGTATCTTGTGAGAACTCACTTACTATCATTAGGACAGAATGGGGGGACTAGCTCCCATGATCCAATCACCTCTCACCAGGTTCCTCCCCTGACACGTGAGGATTAAAATTCAATACTAGATTTGGGTAGAGACACAGAGTCAAACCGTATCATTCATCAATAGAGAACTGTATGGAGAAGTTGTAGACATAATTCTGTAGATCCACACTTATATTGTATCTATATTTTTTAAATGTTCATAATGTGGCCATAAAGAGGTAAGTCATTGGAGTTCAAGAAATAACATGAGAATAGAGTTTTAAATAGGTTACCTACATGAGCAGTAAAATCACTCAAGCCCTTGAAGGTGAGCTGAATATGATGGAGAATAAATGCAGAGCCCAAATTCTATAGTGAATGCTGCAGTGTAAATGAGCTGCTATTAAGTTACCGATCAAAGCAAAAAGAAACCATATATTTCAGAGGATCGGGAAAATTGCAAATAAGTAGAAGACCAATGTTAAGAAAGTGACCATGGAGGATAACAAGAATGCTGATGCGAATTCTTGAATCATACAAATCAGGGTTTAGAAAGTGGTTATCCTCCAGTGTAGAGAACCTCAAGAGTTGAGAGTTCAGACATTTGCTTTCTTGTTTTATGTTCACATCCCAACGCTTTTCTCAAGATCTCATAGTTGATTTGAATATTCATAATGACCATTATTTTTTTCCATGCATCCTTAAGCTTAAGCCTCAAATAGAGTCAGCAGTCTCACCAATTTTGAAATTGATATCTGACACTATGCAATGTAGCCAGGAATGAGTTGAAAATGGTGAAAAACATATAATGTAGTTGGTAAAGTATATGGTTAATTGTACAAAAAGTCCAAGAGTGACTTGAGTCTGCTTTAGTTTAATATTAACAAAGAATTACAAATAAAATATGTGCTATTTGTCTAAGAATTATGGGAAACAATCAAAATTACCTCATGCATTGTAAAGAAAAAAGAGGCTTTTTAGTATGTAAATGGCAATTTTAAAAGGCTAGTTACTAGATTAATAAATAGAGTGGATATATTTATGCTTTACTTGATACCTAATACTAAAGCTAAGTTCAGAATGGTCTTATGAGCAAAATGTGTTACCAATATTAAAAAATACAAACAAACAAATACATAAAAATAATTAATTATGAGCTAAATCTATTGGAATGTACATTTAGGTAACTGAAACAATAGGAAAAGTCATAAAGGAATAATATATATTATTGCATAACTGAGCCAAAAATAAAATGAGTAAAGTCAAAAGAAGCTAAAAACAATAAATTATTTATAGCAAATATACACTCTGAATGTTTTTAACAAATTAATGAGATATTTTTGGACTGGAGAAATATGTCAAAATATCAAAGAGAAAAAATGTCATGGAAAACATGAATTTATCTATCTATCTATCTATCTATCCATCATCTATCTATTAATGGCCAGCATAAACAATAGAAACAATTGTAAACAATTAGATGTTTTTATGTCCCAAAATGCTGAAGGTATTTTTTGTTTTTTTTCTTTATATTTTAATAAACATAAATCTTGGGCAATTTAGAAAGTTCAAAGTTTTAGGTAGTGACTTAGCATGTAAGAATTTATCCTAAGAAATAAGCAGACATGAAAGTTATGAATTATGTGAAAGAATGTTGGTTTGTAGCGTTATTATGCTAATAAAATGTGGACATAGTTTTAAAAATTATGTAGTAGTATGAAGGTGAATATATTTTTTCTGTATATACTTGTAATCAAGGAATAAAATGATTGCACCAAAGCTATAAATGTATTTCTCACTAGAGGGTGGAATTATAGATGCCATTCTTGTTTCTATATTCTTGTTTCTATGTGTCTTCTCTTTTTCCAAAACTCATATGGGTCAAACCAAAAAGAGGAAGATGGTAAATTTAACCTAACTTTACTAATAATTACAACAAATACAAATGATCTAAACATTCTATTAGAAGATCTATATTTTCAGTTTGGTAAAAAAAGAAACATCAGCTATACGTTGCCTACATGTGGTTTAAATATAAAAATGCAAATAAGTTAAAAGTGAAGGATGGGAAAAGATATTACCATACTAACATTAAGCAATGGAAAACTAGAATACCTGTATTAATATCAATCAAAGTAGACTTCACAGGTAAGACTATTACCAGTAACAAAGAAAATAATTTCATGACAGTATAAGGAGTAATTGATTAAAAAGATACAACAATTCTAAATATTTACAGTCCTAATAACAGAATATCAAGAAAATGATAAAGGAACAATGAAGAGAGCTGCAAAAGGAAATAGACAAATCAAATAATCTTATGAAATTATAGCCAATATGTTTTCTTCAATAATTAATAGGACAAATAATCAGAATATCAATAAATACAATACAGATGACTTTGAAAACACTATCAATTTGATTCAATTGTTATATATGGAACACATCACTCAAATATAGCATGATGTACATTTATTTTTAATGCACATGTAACATTTACCTTGATAAGATATATTTGGGGTCATAATGCAAGTCTCAGCAAATTTTAAAAGACTCAAATTATACAAATTTGTTCTCTGATTGAGATAAAATTCAGTTAAATACATTTAAAATATTCATAAAAAATAACTAAATATTTGGAAACCAAATGACACTCTTTTAAATGACCTAAGGAAAAAACCCTAGAAATTTAAAAGAGAATTAGTGAGTATGTTGAAGTGAATGAAAATTAAACCTCAATATATCACAATTTGTGGAGTGCTATTAAAGCCATACCTTACGGGAATGTTTATACCACTTAATATCTTTACCAGAAAATAAGAAAGCTATCAAATCAGTAACATCAGGATTCACCTAAGAAACTAGAAAAATAAGTGCATATAAAGTCAGCTGCGTAAGCGCATAAGCTAGAAAAATAAGTGTATATAAAGTCTGCTGCAGCAGCAGCAGAATTAAGATCATAACAGAAATATTTGAAATAGAAAACAAAAAGTAATTAAGGAAATTCAATGAAAGCCAAAAGTCATACTTCGAAAATATAAATAAAACTGATGCATGTCAATTTTTAGTGAGACTGAGAGAGAGAACGAAAAAGAGAATATTTTCCAAATATTCCTTATTTCAGGAATAAGAGAGGTAAAATCATTACAGTGTTTTCAGATATTAAAATAATGACATGACAATATTTTGTACAACTTTATGACATTTAACAACTTAGAGTAAATGAAGAGATACTTTGAAAGACACAAAAGCAAGTAAAGCTCACTAAAAGGTAAACATAACGTTTGGCAAAATATGTACTAAAAAATAGCCAAATATGTGCTAAAAAAATTTGTAGTTTAAAGCTTCCTAATAAAAAAACTCTATACACACAAAATTTCACTGGTGAGTTCTTCCAAATATGTGTAAGACTAATACCACAAATTATACACAAACTTTTCCATTAGTGTTCAGATGATTAAATACTTCCCAACAAATTTTAAGGGGCCACTTTTATCTTGATGTGTAAAGCAGACAAAGTTTTTAGAAGAGGCCAAACTACAGATCAATATCTCTCCTAAATATAGATGCAAAGGTTCTTAACAGAATTTTAGATACTTTAATCCAAAAATAAATATAATATAATATATTGTGATCAAGAGAGCTTTATTATAAGAATGCAAAGTTGCTATAAATTTAAAAATTAATGTAAGTCATCATATTACAAAACTAAAAATAATAACATTATTATAGATGAAGACATTTTAGAGAATCCAACATTTAGGAATAAAAGAAAATTGTTTTAACCCTGTAAATCACATTAATAAATATTCTATAGTTAATATCATATTTAATTGTAAAAGACTGAGTATATACTAAGGTTAAAAGAAGCACAGCGATGTTTACTCATGCTGCTTCTATTCAACATTATACTCGGATAGTTATATCCTACAATGAAGCAAGAAGAAATAAAAGGCATTCAGATTCAAAAAGAAGACTGAGAAAATCAAGTCTTTATTTGCCAACAATATAATCTTCTACGTAAAAAAACTGTAAAAATCTACAAAATAGCTTCCAGAATTAATAAATGAGTTTAACAATGTTGGAGGATACAAGATAAATATAAAAAAAAAGAAACAAGAAAATAACATTTTAAAACTAGTACTATTTACAATAGCCAGAAACAATAGGAATATTCAAAAATACGACAAAAGACATAAAAGATCTCTACAGTGCAAAATAGTACTGAGTAAAATGAAAGACAACAAGTAAATACACAGATAGACCACAAGTCGGAAGATGTAATATCTCTATATGTCAATTCCCTAAAAATAGATCAATACATTCAAACCTCGTCTCTACGAAATAAAGAGAGATATATTTTTTGGTGAAATAATGAGGAATGGATTATAAGAGTGGAATGAGCCCAGTGTAGTTCACCTGTAGGGTTCGAATAAGATAACGGCAACAGTAGAAATAAAATTTTATTGCTTTTGTTGAGAACTAACTTAGTCATTCATAATTTTGAGTTAAATCATAATTTACATGACTTACTTTTTATTACTCAATAAAATATTAATATCATTGACAATAGTAAAAAATAAAAATATTTATAATAAATCATGTAGACAAATATAAAATCTAATAAAAATTGCTGAAACAATTATAAGTTGTTAAATATATGATTAAAACTATTAGGGTGTTTTCATATTCAACGTTTTCATCCAACAAAAATTTCTTAAGCGTATGTTATGAGCTGAGTACATTCTAGGCACCCAGAACATATTCAGATATCTATCTATCTATCTATCTATCTATCTATCTATCTATCTATCTAGATATAAAGACAACTAAATATTCAATTATAAGATGATACAGTGAGGTTGGGGTATGCCCAGGTTTACACAGATACTAAAGAATCATACTAATTTATATTTTAGAAATGTTTTCCATTAAATTCTAATGATAGAAAATTTATTCAGAAATAGAAGTGCTCAGATGAATAACTTGAAAAACACAATAAAAAATTATAATTTGGGCCAGGCATGGCAGCTTACACCTGTAATCCCAGCAATTTGGGAAGCCAAGGCATGTGGATCACTTGAGGTCAGGAGTTCAAGAGAAACCTGGACAACAGGGTGAAACCTCTTCTCTACTAAAAATACAAAAAATTAGCCAGCTGTGGTGATGTGCACCCCTGTAATCCCCGTTACTAGGGAGGCTGAGGTAGAATAGCTTGAACCCAGGAGGTGGAGGTTGCAGTGAGCTGAGATCATGCCACTGCATTCCAGCCTGGGTGACAGAGCGAGACTCCATCTCAAAAAAAAAAAAAAAAAAAAAGGAAAGAAAAATTATAATTTTCACACACCTTAATAAAAAATAATGTGGTGGGGTAGACTTTGGAGAACAAACATAAATAATTCAGTTCTGATCCAGTTGAGTTTTAGGTAACGTGGACCCTTCAGATAAATGTGTACATTAGGCAATGTACACATTTGGTATGGTGGCATAAAATGCAAGGGTGAGACTTCAACTGTATCATAAATTCAGGAGTTATCAATATTAAGATATTAAGAAAAAATCGGTAAAAAGTAGCAATCCTCTAGCTTACTCAAGAGGATCAGCTAGATAAAAAAATAGAAGAGAGCATAGGAAAACTCTAAGAATAGAAATGTAAAGAAGGGACACAACAGGTAAAGATAGCAACAGAGACAGAGAAAGGTGGTTAGACTGGTAGAAGGGAATGCATGTATTTCAAAACCCTATTGTATTAGTCCATTCTCACACTGCTATGAGGAAATACACAAGACTGGGTTATTTATAAAGGAAAGAGGTTTCATTGATTCACATTTCCACGTAGCTGGGGAGGCCTCAGGAAACTTAACAATTACAGATGAAGACAAAGGAAAAGCAGGCACCTTCTTCACAGGGCAGTAAGACAGTGTGAGTGCAATCAGGGGAAATAGCAGATGCTTATAAAACCATCAGATCTCATAAGACTCACTCACTATCACGAGAACATGGGGAAAACCATCCCCATGATCCAATTACCTCTACCTGGTCCCGCCCTTGACACTTGGGGATTATAATTCAAGATGAGATTGTAGGTAGGGGACACAGCGTAACCTTATCAACTATATAATCTTAAATTATTTACATGTAAAAGTATGCTACACACAGTTCTCAAAGTCAACATAAATATCTAATTAAGTATTTTAACTAACGTATGTTTATTCATATAAAAACTAACTTCCATGGATATATTTATGGCATTTGATTTGTGCAAAATACTGAACTTCAATAGAAAGTAAAAAATATTTATTTTATAAAGTATCATTTGTATTTGTATTTGTTTCTACATGATCCTAAATGTGAAATATAATTTTCCGGAGAAAAAATAAGAACAATTTTCAAAGTAAACTAAACAATGCTAGGGTCAACCCATAGTTTTTCGAAAGGACTGTAATACTTTGAGCAAGTCACAGTTTTTAGAGAGAGATACTTAATATTAGATTTTATTTTTGTAGTTCTGGATGTCTTAAATTATAATTATTGTTGCAGTGCTGCAAATTTCGTTCTGAAATATGCTCCATTGACTGAAATCAGAAGCTGGTTTTTAACTAAATTGCCCTAGAACACTCCACATACTCATTTCGTCCAGCAGGGATTTTTAAAAGGATTCTTATATGACAATCATTATCTGCTTCCTGTTGGCAGCTGCCCTTTTGCAGAAACATAGAATTTGTGATATCCCATGTGACTTTTGTGTGTGTGTGTTTCCCCGGTTGATAGAAAAAAAAAGAAAAGCTAACCTTATGTTAATTAAACTTGAGGAAATAATGATTCAGAGTTTAAGAACCTATATACCAAGTTTCAGGGAAAAGCAAATAAAAAAGCAGTGTTATAAATCATTCAAAAAGGGGGATTTATGGTGGAAACAACAAGCTAACTTTAACCACGGTTTCTCTGTTGGGTGCTTCTCTATAGAACGGTTATAATAAATCATGCAATGCATGAATGGAAAATAGAATTCTTTTAACTTCCTCAGGATAAGCTCCTGAGACTCCTTTCTAACTTTGTGTACTTATGCATGCACATCTCTTTTTTTATTACAGGTATTTTACACTGTATTGACTGCATCATACTTACCATATTCCAGCAAACAAATTTTTCATCTGTGTATAATCAGATGGATATTCAAATCCTATTTTTCATTTTAATTTGTTAGATTATACATTTCTGCACTCAGTGCCAGGGTTTCACCACACCTTGCTGTAAGAAAACTTACTGTTACCAAGCCATCTTTAAATAAGCTACTGAGAGTGGGTTTCAAATAGCTTTAAATGCCATTTTAAATTTTATTTAAAAACTGAAATACTATTTAAAATACATGTTTTTCCAAAATGTTAGAATGCATTTCTTGGCTTATTAGAAATATTCTACATATTTAATTATTGTTGCTAAATTCTCTTACAAAATAACTTTGCTTAAGAGATGATCTAAAATGAACTTGTACATTTTTTCAGTACCATTGCAGTTTTTTCCACTCCTATTTGTATTCATCAAAAGTTTGTATATTTTTAGGAAAAAAGTAACCAAGCAAATAAAGGAAGTGATTAGAGGGACTGGACAAATAGAATAAGGAAATAAGGTGAAAACAGCGAGGAGACAAGAAGAAGGATATACAGTGGCAGGGAGAAAGATAATAAATTGGAAGAACTATAAAGAAAAAAAACATGATAAATTGTCTTGCCAGTAAAAGAATCTTGCTATTTAATCTTCTGGATATTTTGTATACCATTACCACCTGATAAACTAGAACAGATATAAGAAGCATCAGAAAAGGAAGACAAAAGAGTAACTAAAAGGAAGGAAAAAATTTAAAAGTTCATATATCTGAGATTTCCCAAGAGACTTGAAAATTACTCAGTGGTATGAGCTACCTTACTATAATTAAAATTACTTCGGAAGGTAACTTCTTGCTTATGCAGCACCTCAGATGCAGAAAAGTATGACAACCTCGCCACCTACTTTTCAATTTAGAGACCTTTTTATTAGGTACCCAGACATAACTGTTTTCTAGGGAAAAGTAATTTTATAATTTTTTTTCAAATTTTCAGCCAAAGAATGATTTTGCACTAGCTAAAGTGGAACATAAATGAGCCTTTAAGCAGGAGACGTGCTCATCTTTAAAATGGAGGATGAAGGGCATAGTGTGTAAAAGCGCCTTGTATTTTCTGGGAGTATAGCCTTCTCAACTTAAGAGGTCAGGAAAGGACATTACTCTGGCTGCATGCGTCTCTCAAGTTTGCAGTAGGTAAACAGGAAGAGCCTTGGGAAGTTCACCAGTTTATAATTCTCTTCCAGTGCTTACTCCAGAACAGGAGGATAAAAGGCAGAGAGAAATGCTAGGGAGGCAGCAAGATTAAAGAAAATAATTCTTTGTAACAAAGGGAAAATGCCACATTATTCTCTACTTCAACATGCTGTGAAATTTAGCAAAGAGTGGAATATAGCAGGAGGGAGAGAGAGGAGTATCCCACATTAGGCTGTTGTATTCAGTTCATTGACATATTTGACTAGATTGGTAGGCAATTATGTATTCTTGAAGTGACAAGATTTGATTTTATGTACAACTTAACAGCCTACATAATTAGAAAAGACTGTCCCCAATCTTTCTATGTGATTTAGTTTGTAAACAACATCCAAAACTTTGTTTTGCTTTAATGATGTTTATACCTAAAAAATAAAACCGGAAAGAAATACTCATGGTTAATTGTAACGTGTTACTTCACACAGCAAGACTTAACTTCTTCTCATCCATTGTCAATAGAACATGCAGCAAGTGAAGTGGAAAGAGCAACTGACTGAGAATCAGGAGACCAGGGATTTCATCTTGCTGTTGCCACTAATTAGCTGTCTGACCAAGAGTATCTCAGTGTCTCCAAATTTGAATTTTCTCATCTGTAAAATGAGGAAGTTGTTGATATATAAAGCTCTTTCTGGTGCTAAAAATCTATATGCACTGCATTGTCCCCTGGCAGCATAGGTAGATTTACATTGAGCTATCCATGTGTACTTTCTGTTCCTTTTGTGAGTACTGCTATTTATATATTCCGGTAATGTTAACTGGCAATGGTTATGTGTATAGTCTGTAGGACAGAAGGAATCAAAGTGATCTGTTCAAGAATCAGAATCCTCACCACAGCCAATGAGCAAAAGCTCCAATCGACCAAGTTCCCTGGTGATACTGTAATGCCAATGCTTCCTTAGGGATGTGTTTCCATATATGTCTATTTCACTGAGAATGAACTGCATACACACTGAAATAATCAATTAGACTTTCCACTGCAATTAGACAAAATATAGTCTCTTCAAGGCATAATGATAGCTTATATTGCTTTCTCAATGGTGTCTTTATGATACAAATAGGAAGGATGGAAAAGGATCAATGAATTGAGGAGATAAATCAGCACACATGGCATTGAAAGTACTTGTGTGAGCTAAATTAACATGCATAAACATACTTATTAATGCCCTATCTAAAACAAGCAAAAGAAAACAGACCCCCCCTACAAAAAAAAACAAAGAGAATAACAGAAATGTTTATAATACATATGAACAATGAATACATTATAGAATACTGGGAGCATTATAATTGTTATTGATATTACGCTGACTATGTAATTCCAAGTCATTGTTTAGATCTTATCTCTTAAAATCACTAGTATGTCTGTGTTATAATATCTTGTTTAAATGTTGATATATTGCAGATAGATTTTATAATGTGTGTTTAATTTGTGTTGCATTTAACAAACTGAAAACAAAATTCTGAGTGACAAACATACTTGTCAATAAAGCCTTTAAAATATATTACAAATAATGGAGTTTGGCCGTCTATTGACTCATTTATTTGAGACACATTGCGTAGGAGAACAAAGTTATGAATTTGAAACCAACGTGAATTTTATATTCTGTTATATGATTAAAAACTTGATTAGTGGTGATTTCAAAAGGTCTTTTTCAAGTGGCTTTCTTTTGTTTAAAAAAAAGAATATGAGAGAATGTGGATAAATCAATAGACATTCACATAATTTATTATGCATGAAAGGGTAATAATGGATCAGTAGTGACATGAAATTCTAGTTTATATTTATAAAATGCTGAACAGACTATGTAGTTTAGTCCTTCTTTACCCATTGTCTGTGGACCAAAGAAAGCAAATGTTTCTTCTTTTTTAATCTCCATTTTTTCTATTAATACTTCTCTCCTAGGATCTCTGGTATGTAATTTAAATCATTTACCACACTAAAATAAAATTTGACTTGAAAAATACTGCTCGAACCCAACCTCATTACAGATGAGATCACTGAGCTCTAGAGAGTTAAAGTGACTTTCTAGCATCAAACAGTTCATTAATAACAGAGCCACTGTTGTAACCTAGGTCTTGTGACTTCAAATGCAGCAATTTATCTTTTAGCCTTCAGACATTTATCTTTTGGCCTTTGTAGAGTCCAAAATCAAGACCAATTATTTATAATGTAATTCTCTTTTGTTATTCAAAATTTTGAGTTTATTCTGGAAGCTAGAACTCATTTTTTTTTTATAAATTAGGAGATAAATTAGCACCCATGGCTAATTTATCTACGCTATTTCTATTTATCTGGCTATTTCTAAAATGGAATCACTCAAGTGAGAAAGAAGTAGCCAGAGATTTCAGCAATAAGAAAGGCAGATCCAACATTCTAAAACTTTCGCTGGTTAGCCATGGAGAAAGGAATAAATGACAGGCTCATGTGTTAGTATCCATCTGATCCTAAGTGTAAATTGTGGCACCTTGAAGTAGCGTAACCTGAGAGAAGGGTCTCTATATAATTACTCGCCTGAATCTCCAAAAAAAAAAAAAATGCTGTCAAGATTTTTCAAGTAGAGAGAGACAGAGTCACTAGTAAATTTTACAAAAGCAAATGTCAACTAACAGAGCCATTTCCATCCCTGAACCCAATGTACAATGGAGACATAAGGAATGGTCCTATGGACTTCCAAATTTCTAGTAGGGCAGGTTATATAAAATTCACAATTTGAAGGAATAATGAGAGACCTGGTATTAGAAAATTTTAAATGAAATAGTCAAATTAATAAACTCAGTACATTAGATCTGACAAAGAAACACTGGCTAACTCCCAAGAAGCCTCTCATGTTGGCCTTTGACTAGTTAAGCACAATCTAGAATCTGGCCCAGTGCTTCTCAGAATTTGTACCCTGAAACTGTGGCATGTACAGAGTGAACTCATATAAACTATATTTAATAAAACCACTTACAGTAAAATCTCTGCCTCCTGTAGTAGATCAACATGAAAGCAAACACAATTAAAAGCTTGATTTATGAGTGTATAATCAGTACTAAGTATGTGATAATGTGTACTTTCCGATTTGTGCTTTATTTTAAAATCATCTTATACAAAAGGCATAAAAGAGATAAAATGAATTTTTAATGGCATCAGGATAAAGGAATGTGATCTATCCTCACACTGGGGACATTATTATCAATGTGAGTGGACTAGCCAGCATCTGATGGCTTAAAAGAAACATGCCAATTTTTGCCTCTGACTCTCATTTTCCTTTTAAGCCCAGTCCATTCATAAAGTGCCAGCTGTCACAATGACATGCTGTGTGTCATTTGGATTGTCTCCATTTTCAGCCTCTGAGTTGATTCATGCTTTAATCCCATGGAGATATAAGGTTATATGTAAAAATGGAATAATATGCTTCCCTAAACCCTCTTTGTAAGATGCTGGAACAAAAGAGGCACTGTTTGGTACTTAAATAAGAGAATATAGCAGTAGGAATATTTTTTTTTCTTATCCCCCATTTCAAATATGGTGGAAGGTGCCAGCATTTGTAATTGTATGGGTCATATAAATGGAATATTTGGTATCAAGCATGTGGCTAGGGTGCACCAGTCATGCCCTGTTGGAAGTCGTACTAGCCAGGAGGACATTATAGTTGATCCTGACTTATTTTCTGCCATGATAGACCAGAGTTCTTCATTAGCAGGTGTACAAAATCTCTAAGCATCCCTGGAAGCATGTTGAGAGTGTTGTGTTGAGGATAACCAGTTGGAACAACAGCCTATAAAATTAGTTTATCATTGGTAATGTAACTTCATTGTATCCACTATTAAAAATAAGGGAAATTAATTTCAAGGAATTTAATGTTCAAAGGATAACTTTATATCTTCTAGTATCAAACAGAAACTTACATGATATCTTGCTATTCCCATTTGTATGTGACAACACGTTCTGCAGCTGACTCCTTACCCCAAGCCCTGGAGAAATCATTAGTGTTGAGCAGTTCATGAGAGCATGGCAGTGTAAAGGCTTATGTGGGATTCGGGGCAACAGTCTGAAATGTAGCACCCTGCTTACTCTGGGCTTTTAGGTTAGGGAATTAATCCCCCAGAGTCTTTTGGCCCTAGCAGAATCGAATATGCTTCCTGGAACTGTTCACCAAGTATTTCAGTCAATATCAATTGCTAGGAATAAAACAAGGTCACATTCCTGCAACTACTGACATAGTGGAATATATTTACTAAATTTGGTTATCCATGATGAAATTTTTAAGCAGTTTGAAACAAAAATGCTAATTCCATTAAATATTGATGACTGGGAAAAAATTGCCATTCATGAACCTAGAAATACATTTTTTAAAAAATTGACTACTATATTCAAAAAATATTTATTAACCTTATTTAATACCCTTCCCATTATCATATAGTTTAAATCCCTATGAAACACACTGACAATGCTCAAGGACAATGCAGTGTTGTAGCTAGTGGAATATTACAGTTCTTTTATGAATTCATATAGTCACAAGAACCAGATTTCAGATTACCAAAAATCAGTTATATTTATACCCAAATTTGTTTATGCTAGTTGAAATTATTATAGCACTTAAATGTAATTGTTATAGCATTTAATATAAAAATGATAAAATATGAAGGGAAATCACACTTTAATATAAAATGTTTTAAGTATAATAAAAGTGAATAGTTCAAAAATCTCCTGAATGAGAATAAGATAGCTTTAAAAAATTAAAAAAAAAATAAAGGGACTACCGATAATTTGTTTCATAAATTATATAAGTTTTCATTTATTTTTTAGACATTGTGACCAGAAGTCATAAGTCTTATTTACTGCAATTATGGGCTTTGTAAGAAAAATGATAGAATCCTAGTCATGCAAAATATATTCTAAGTGAAGACTAAACTTCACACCATTAGGCTGGTTAATTAATTACTATTTATGCATCTTTTAATTCTAAATGAAAATGTCAGGCATTCTCATATTATTTGTCATGTTTTCTTGCTTAGAAGAGCTTTTAAGTTTACTGATAAAATAACTACTTGGACCACTCATGTCAGGTAGAAAAGCCTCTGAACAATTATTCTACTACGGCTTGTGAAATCTTATCTGAAGTATTTTGCCTACTGTTTTTGGTTATTTTTTCATACATTAATATAGATATAAAGTAGGAAGATATGCTAGTCTATATTCAACAATTCTTGCTCTAGGGAGCAACAATTCTTGCTCTAGGGAGAAACAATTTATATTAAAAACATTAATTTTCACCAAGATGGCCGAATAGGAACAGCTCCAGTCTGTACCTCCCAGTGTGATCAATGCAGAAGACGGGTGATTTCTTCATTACCAACTGAGTTACTTGGTTCATCTCACTGGGACTGGTTGGACACTGGGTGCAGCCCATGGAGGGTGAGCCAAAGCAGGGCAGGACGTCGCCTCACCTGGGAAGCACAAGGGGTCGGGGGATTTCCCTTTCCTAGCCAAGAGAAGCCCTGACAGACTGTACCAGGAAAATCGGGACACCCCCACCTTAATACTGCGCTTTTCCAATGGTCTTAGCAATCAGCACACCAGGAGATTATATCCGGCACCTGGCTAGGAAGGTCCCACACCCACAGAGTCTTGCTCACTGCTAGTGCAGCAGTCTGAGATTGAACTGCAAGGCAGCAGCCTGGCAGGGGGAGGGGTGTCCACCATTGCCGAGGCTTGAGTAGATAAACAAAGCAGCCAGGGAAGGTCAAACTGGGTGGAACCCACCACAGCTCAGCAAGGCCTGTTGCCTCTGTAGAGTCCACCTCTGGGAGCAGGGCATAGATTAACAAAAGGCAGCAGAAACTTCTGCAGACTTAAATATCCCTGTATGACAGCTCTGAAGAGAGCAGTGGTTCTCTCAGCACAGTGTTTGAGCTCAGAGAACAGACAGACTGCCTCCTCAAGTGGATCTCTGACCACCCGCATGTAGCCTAACAGGGAGACACCTCCCAGTAGGGGCCTACTGACACCTCATACAGGCAGGTGCCCCTCTGGGATGAATTTTCCAGAAGAAGGATCAGGCAGCGATATTTGCCATTCTGCAGCCTCTGCTGGTGACACCCAGGAAAACAGGGTATGGAGTGGACCTCCAGCAAACTCCAACAGACCTGCAGCTGAGGGCCTTGACTGTTAGAAAAAAAACGAACAAACAGGAGGGAATAGCATCCGCATCAACAAAAAGGACATCCACATCAAAGGATGTCTGTAGGTCACCAACATCAAAGACCAAAGGTAGATAAAAACCACAAAGATGGGGAAAAACCAGAACAGAAAAGTGAAAATTCTGAAAACCAGAATGCCTCTTCTCCTCCAAAGGGTTGGAGCTTCTTGCCAGCAATGGAACAAAGCTGGATGGAGAATGACTTTGATGAGCTGACGGAAGTAGGCTTCAGAAGGTTGGTAATAACGAACTTCTCCAAACTAAAGGAGGATGTTCAAACCTATTGCAAGGAAGCTAAAAACCTTGAAAAAAGATTAGATGAATGGCTAACTATAATGAACAGTGTAGAGAAGACCTTAAGTGACCTGATGGAGCTGAAAACTATGGCTTGAGAACTACGTGACACATACACAAGCTTCGATAGCTGATTCAATCAAGTGGAAGAAAGGGTATCGGTGACCGAAGATCAAATTAATGAATAAAGTGAGAAGAAAAGTTTAGAAAAAAGGGTAAAAAGAAATAAATAAAGCCTCCAAGAAATATAAGACTATGTGAAAAGACCAAATCTATGTTTGATTGGTGTACCTGAAAGTGACTGGGAGAATGGAACCAAGTTGGAAAACACTCTGCAGGATGTTATCCAGGAGAACTTCCCCAACCTAGCAAGGCAGGTGAACATTCAAGTTGCGGAAAAAGAGAGAACACAACCAAGATACTCCTCAAGAAGAGCAACCCCAAGACAAATAATTGTCAGATCCATCAAGGTAGAAATGAAGGAAAAAATGTTAAGGGCAGCCAGAGAGAAAGCTTGGGTTACCCACAAAGGGAAGCCCATCAGAATAACAGTAGATCTCTCAGTAGAAAATCTACAAGCCAGAAGAAAGTGGGGGCCAATATTCAACATTCTTAAAGAAAATAATTTTCAACCCAGAATTTCATATCCAGCCAAACTAAGCTTCATAAGTGAAAGAGAAATAAAATCCTTTACAGATAAGCAAATGCTGAGAGATTTTGTCACCACCAGGCCTGCTGTACAAAAGCTCCTGAAGGAAGCATTAAACATGGAAAGGAACAACTGGTACCAGCTACTGCAAAAACATGCCAAATTGTAAAGAGTGTCGATGCTAGGAAGAAACTGCATCAACTAAAGGACAAAATAACCAGCTAACATCATAATGACAAGATCAAATTCACACATAACAATATTAACCTTAAATGTAAATGGGCTAAATCCCCAATTAAACACACAGACTGGCAAATTGGATAAAGAGTCAAGACCCATCAGTGTGCTGTATTCAGGAGACCCATTTCATGTGCAGAGACACACATAAGCTCAAAATAAATGGATGGAGGAAGATCTACCAAGCAAATATACGGCAAAAAAAGTAGGGGTTGCAATTCTAGTCTCTGACAAAACAGGCGTTAAACCAACAAAGATCAAAAGAGACAAAGAAGGCCATTATGCAATAGTAACGGGATCATTTCAACAAGAAGAGCTAACTATCCTAAATATATATGCACCCAATACAGGAGCACCCAGATTCATAAAGCAAGTCCTTAGAGACCTACAAAGAGACTTAGACTCCCACACAATAATAATGGGAGACATTAACACCCCACTATCAATATTAGACAGATCAACAAGACAGAAGGTTAACAAGGATATCCAGGACTTGAACTCAGTTCTGCACCAAGCAGACCTAATAGACATCTACAGAACTCTCCACCCCAAATCAACAGAATATAGATTCTTCTCAGCACCACATTGCACTTATTCCAAAATTGACCACATAGTTGGAAGTAAAGCACTCCTCAGCAAATGTAAAAAACAGAAATCATAACAATCTGTCTCTCAGACCACAGTACAATCAAATTAGAACTCAGGATTAAGAAACTCACTCAAAACCACACAATTACATGGAGACTGAACAACCTGCTCCTGAATGACTACTGGGTGAATAATGAAATGAAGGCAGAAATAAAGATATTTTTTGAAACCAATGAGAACAAAGACACAATGTACCAGAATCTCTGAACACATTTAAAGCAGTGTGTAGAAGAAAATGCACAGCACTAAAAGCCCACAAGAGAAAGCAGGAAAGATCTAAAATTGACACCCTAACATCACAATTAAAAGAAGTAAAGAAGCAAGAGCAAACAAATTCAAAAGCAAGCAGAAAGCAAGAAATAACTAAGATCAGAGCAGAACTGAAGGAGATAGCGACACAAAAAACCCTTCAAAAAATCAATGAATCCAGGAGCTGGTTTTATGAAAAGATCAACAAAATTGATAGACCACTAGCAAGACTAATAAAGAAGAAAAGAGAGAAGAATGAAATAGACGCAATAAAGAATGATAAGGGGGATATTAACACCGATCCCACAGAAATACAAACTACCATCAGAGAATACTATAAACACCTCTATGCAAACAAACTAGAAAATCTAGAAAAAATGGATAAATTCCTGTGCACATACACCCTCTGACGACTAAAGCAGGAAGAAGTTGAATCTCTGAATAGATCAGTAACAGGATCTGAAGTTGAGGCAATAATTCATAGCCTACCAACCAAAAAAAGTCCCAGACCAGACGGATTCAAAGCTGAATTCTACCACAGGTACAAAGAGGAGCTGGTTCCATTCCTTCTGAAACTATTCCAATCAATAGAAAAAGAGGGAATCCTCCCTAACTCATTTTATGAGGCCAGCATCATCCTGATAACAATGCCTGGCAGAGACACAACAAAAAAAGAAAATTTTAGACCAGTATCCCTGACAAACGTCAATGTGAAAATCCTCAATAAAATACTGGCAAACTGAATTCAGCAGCACATTAAAAAGCCTATCCACCACAATCAAGTCAGCTTCATCCCTGGGATGCAAGACTTCCACAAATCAATAAACATACATAAATCATACACAATCAATACACAAATCAATAAACATAACCCATCACATAAACAGAACCAATGACAAAAACCACATGATTATCTCAATAGGTATAGAAAAGGCCTTTGGCAAAATTCAACAGCCCTTCATGCTAAAAACTCTCAATAAACTAGATATTGATGGAGTGTATCTCAAAATAATAAGAGCTATTTATGACAAACTCACAGCCAATATCTTACTGAATGGACAAAAACTGGAAGCATTCCCTTTGAAAACTGGCACAAGACAGGGCTGCCCTCTCTCACCACTCCTATTCAACATAGTATTGGAAGTTCTGGCCAGGACAATCAGGCAAGAGAAAGAAACAAAGGGTATTCAATTAGGAAAAGAGGAAGTCAAATTGTCCCTGCTTGCAGACGACATGATTTTATATTTAGAAAACCCCATCATCTCAGCCCAAAATCTCCTTAAGCCGAAAAGCAACTTCAACAGTCTCAGGATACAAAATCGATGTGCAAATATCACAAGCATTCCTATACACCGAAAACAACAGAGAGCCAAATCATGAGTGAAGTCCCATTCACAATTGCTTCAAAGAGAATAAAATACCTGGGAATACAACTTACAAGGGATGTGAAGGACCTCTTCAAGGAGAACTACAGACCACTGATCAAGGAAATAAGAGAGGACACAAACAAATGGAAGAACATTCCATGCTCATGGATAGGAAGAATCAATATCGTGAAAATGACCATACTGCCCAAGGTAATTTACAGATTTGATGCCATCCCATCAAGCTACCAATGACTTTCTTCACAGAGTTAGAAAAAACTACTTTAAAGTTCATATGGAACAAAAAAAGCCTGCATTGCCAAGACAATCCTAAGCCAAAGGAACAAAGCTGGAGGCATCACACTATCTGACTTCAAACTACACTACAAGGCTACAGTAAACAAAATGGCATGGTACTGGTACCAAAACAGAGATATAGACCAATGGAACAGAACAAAGGCCTCAGAAATAACACCACACATCTACAACCATCTGATAGTTGACAAATCTGACAAAAATAAGAAATGGGGAAAGGATTCCCTATTTAATAAATGGTGCTGGGAAAAATTGGCTAGCTGTATATAGAAAGCTGAAACTGGATCCCTTCGTTACACCTTGTACAAAAGTTAATTCAAGATGGATTAAAGACTTAAACGTTAGACCTAAAACCATAAAAACCCTAGAAGAAAACCTAGGCAATACCATTCAGGACATAGGCATGGGCAAAGACTTCATGACTAAAACACCAAAAGCAATGGCAACAAAAGCCAAAATAGACAAATGGGATCTAATTAAACTAAAGAGCTTCTTCACAGCAAAAGAAACTACCATCAGAGTGAACAGGCAACCTACAGAACAGGAGAAAATTTTTGCAATCTACCCATCTGACAAAGGGCTAACATCCAGACTCTACAAAGAACTTAAACAAATTTACAAGGAAAAAAAAACATCAAAAATTGCTTGAAAGATATGAACAGACACTTCTCAAAAGAAGATATTTATGCAGCCAACAGACACATGAAAAAAGGCTCATCATCGCTGGTCATCAGAGAAATGCAAATCAAAACCACAATGAGATACCATCTCACACCAGTTAGAATAGTGATCATTAAAAAGTCAGGAAATGACAGTTGCTGGAGAAGATGTGGAGAAATAGGAATGCTTTTACACTGTTGGTGGGAGTATAAACTAGTTCAACCACTGTGGAAGACACTGTGGTGATTCCTCAAGGATCTAGAACTAGAAATACAATTTGACCCAGCAATCACATTACTGGGGATATACCCAAAGGATTATACATCATGTTACTATAAAGACACATGCACACATACGTTTATTGCAGCACTATTCACAATAGCAAAGACTTGGAACCAACCCAAATGCCCATCAATGATAGACTGGATTAAGAAAATGTGGCACATATACACCACGGAATACTATGTAGCCATAAAAAAGGGTGAGTTCATGTCCTTTGCAGGGAAATGGATGCAGCTGGAAACCATCATTCTGCGCAAACGATCACAAAGACAGAAAACCAAACACTGCATGTTCTCACTCATAGGTGGGAATTGAACAATAGGAACACTTGGATACAGGGCGGGGAACATCTCACCCCGAGGCCTGTCATGTGTTGGGGGCAGAGGGAGGGATAGCATTAGGAGAAATACCTAGTGTAAATGACGAGTTAAAAGGTGCAGCCAACCACCATTGCACATGTGTACCTATGTAACAAACCTGCACGTTGTGCACATGTACACTAGAACTTAAAGTATAATAATAAAAATAATAATTTTCTTATTTCTAAACTAAAATTACTGAACCAAAGAACATGGAAATGATCAGACTCATTGTTTAAAATATGTAAAATATTAAACAAGCAAATAATAAATTCCCACTATGATATTCAATTTATCTTTTTCAGTATGTATAATATTATTTTGAAGAAAATTAATGGATGTATCATTATTTAAATAGAAGCATACAGAAATTATGCTTACTAAAAAAATAACCAGAAACACAGTCAGTGGTGCAACAGTAAAAAAAAAAAACACACAGCAACAGAACAGAACAATTGCCTATTGTAAGATTAAATTTTATATTATATATTAATTTTATTATTATAATTATTATAAAAGTCTTTTGTTTTAAAATTCAGGAACATATGAATAATTATTATAATAATGAATTGGAAACACTTAAATTTGTATAATAAAGTTGAAACAAAATTTAAATATATGCAGTTTATAATACATCCCTGTAGAAATGACACCAGCTGAAATGTCCTCTTTGACCTCCTCCTATGCAAAGTTGCACAGATAACTGTTCTACAATAATGAAGAAATAGCATATGCTCTTTGCATGCAACTATTTTGTGTTCCAAAACATGATGGTGAAATTCATCTGGAAAGTTCTGGAATGAGTGTCCTATAACCACATGACAACTCTATAGACAGTGAAATGACAAAGTAGTTTGAGATGGTTACCCAAGGACTTGGAGGACAAATCTCATCAATATTTTAGCAATGGATTTTTAACACCCTGGAATATGTGGCTTTAACTCGACAGCACAAAACACACTGCAGAATATCGAATTTCTTTTGTCTGAAACCACTGAGGCCACATTGTCACGTTTTGGTTGACTGAGTCTCAAGTTGTAATTCAGTTTGATCTCGACTTTTGCAGGAAACCTGGGACATGGCAGAAGATGGCAATAATGAGGTTCTTGAAAGGATGAAAATCTAGCATACATCTGAGGATTAAAGGGTCTTTATAAGTAACTTTTCAAGCAAAACCTTGACACAAGAAACAAAACTGTAATCTCCACAGTCACAGCATATTACTTTTTCCTCTCACAGGCAGATAAAATATTTCTCTTTAGTCAATGTTCTAGAATACTTTATTATTACTGTTTTCAAATCGTTACGTATGTGTTAGAGAAGAACGGATAAATTGAGGAATTGTACTCACATTTGACTTATTTCCTTTCATCTATTTTACAAAGAATTGTATTTGCCAAACAGTGTAATATTTTAAATATTAGGACAATTTCACAAAAATCACTTTTACACATTTATAAGTGACTTAAGTTTCAATAATTAAAATGAATCATATTTTTAATTTGTTTACATTCTGTGAAGCTTTATGTACCAATGTGGCAAATAGGTCATAAGATAATTCTCTATTAAAAGAATTGTAGTATCTGCTTCAATAAAACTCAAGTACTCATAAAGGTATTTAAAACATCTTGGAACTCATTGAAGAAAATGCTTATATAGTCCACACATAGGGGACATGAAAAAGTTAAGTAGAAAAGCTCCAGGTTACAGCTGGGTTGTCGGTAGGGTGCATGCCCTATAGTTTCATAAAACAACTAATACAGAATCAATTACCACCCAGTAGGGAAGGCTTTTTTTCCAGGTAACCTCTAAACTATTTTCTTCCCACAACTGCTAATGCAGAGCCCTCCTACTACCGCTACAGACCTGATCATAGACAGGATGTGGAGCAGAGTTAGTACACAATGAATTCATTCCTGTGCATCCAGGAGCTATTGTTGAAATTTTGATGAAAATGCCCTGAAAACAAGCAAAACTCATAATTCTACTTTGCATGGATCTTTTCAATAGCAGGAAAAGCAGTGAATAGGCATTTGGGTTTGTTAAATAAAGGCTGCACTTTAATCCTTGTTAAAAGACAACATCTGACTTTTAGCATAGATTTCTCATAAAATGAAGATAATTAATATCAACAGTGTATAAAGAATTCTGATAAATCCCAAAAAATAAATCATTCAACAGACAAATATAAAATAATATGACCTAAATATATACAGGAAAATAATTAGGAACAGAAAATAAGCATATTAAAGGTGGCAAATCTTCTCAGTCATTAGAAAAGTGGTGTGGAAAAACATGTTGAGATAGATACAATTTTACTCCCATTAGGTAGAGCAATAGTAAGACACCAAACAAAATAGTAAGTATTGGAAAGTTTTTGTCTTTGTTTTCTTTTCTTAAATTTTATTTAAAAATTTCAAGATAGGGTCTTGCTCTGTCGCCCTGCCTGAAAGAATGGTGGTGCCATCGTAGCTCACTGCAGCTTTGCACTCCTGAGATCAAGCAGATCCTCCTGCCTCAGCCTCTGGAGTAGATGGGACTACAGGTGCACACCACAGTGCCCACCTTGGAAAGCTTTTGGGAAATTGGAAACTCTAATTCCCTGTTGGTGAAAGAGTAAATTGGTACAACCACTGTGCAGTACGTTAGAGGTATCAAAAATAATTTAAAATGTTTTAATGTTTGAATCAATTTATAGTTCTAAATATATAACCTAGATAAACTTCTATAAATATGCAGTAGAAAATTTTTATAGAGATGTTTATTGGAGCACTCTTTGTAAGGATAAAAAATAAAAAAAAATTTAGAAGTTCATTAGATGGAATATGGAAATATGAAGAGAGACCCAGTAAAATAAATTGTAATA